>NC_000021.9:44545441-44699336 GCF_000001405.40 Homo sapiens | reverse complement strand
TCAATCATATCTCACTGCAGCCTTGATCTCCCAGGCTCAAGTGATCCTCCCACCTCAGCCTCCTGAGTAGCTGGGACTACAGGTTCGTGCCACCATGCCCAGCTATGTATTTTTTACTTTAATTAATTAATTAATTTTTTGAGACAGGGTCTCACTCTGTCGTCCAGGCTGGAGTGCAGTGGTACAATCTCAGCTCACTGCACCCTCCGCCTCCCGGCTCGAGTGATTCTTCTGCTTCCGCTTCCCGGGTAGGTGGTACCACAGGCGCGTGCCATGATGCCCTGCTAATTTTTGTATTTTTAGAGACAAGGTCTCACTATGTTGGCCAGGCTGGTCTCGAATTCCTGGGCTCAAGTGATCTTCCTGCCTCAGTCTCCCAAAATGCTGGGACTGCAGGCCTGAGCCACACGCCTGGCCTTTTTATTTTTAATGGAGACAAGGTTTCACTCTGTTGCCCCGGCTGGAGCTTTATCTATTTTCTGTTAGAAGAGACTTCAAGATATTCATGATCTGGGCAGTAGGCTTCAGACACGGGAGTTGTAGGGGCAGTAGAAGGAAGTGGACCGCTTCTGGATCTGGAGAGGTGGGAGAGGTTTGGCAGCTGAGCCTGGACGCTTGTCCCGGGACTCTGAATCTCCCTGTGAGGACTGAGGGGCTGGGCTGCAGGTGGAGCGAGCCATCCTCTCTGTCTGCAGCCAGGACTCCGTGTCCAGCCAGCCCCCACTTGGCAGGGACTGGCAACTTGGCGGGGAAATGTGGGGCGGTGGGGACGGCTGTGCCTGCGAGTGACCCCGCTGCCACCTCTGACACTCGCCCATCAGGGCCCTGGGAGACGGACTTGCCTGCTGGGCTGGGGTGGGGACGGCCGCTCCGTTGACCCTCCCTGGGACTGGTACATTCCTGCGGGGACGGCACCAGTGCCAGACTAATGTGTGTTGGGGCCTGGAGAAGGGCTGAGACTGGGCGCGAGGGCCCCAGGAGGCTGCATCTGTGTCCTGGCCTCCTGTCGGGCTGGTCAGCAATTCAACCAGAAATGACTCAAAGAAGAGAGCAAAGTGCAGCCGGGCTACGTGGAGGGTGTTTATTAGGACTTCCAAGCATGGTCCTACAATGGCCAGAGGAGGCACAGCAGCTTCCAAGGAGGCGAGACCACAGGGGCCTGGAATGTGGGAAGTGGTCTGGAAGAGCCGGGGGAGTGGGTGGAGGCAGGGTCATCTGGAGCTTAGCAGGAGCCCCCAGGGCTTAGGGGAAGAGAGGCTGTGCACGCATCTCCAAGGAAGAGACAGACACCAGAGCAGCCGAGGGGCCAGTAGTGGGAGAGGTGGGGGACTCATAGTGCCCAGTGGCCCTGGGGGACATGCCTGGCAGCAGCTGGACTTCTGGCCTGAGCAGAGGCCTCAGCAGGCCAGGCGGGAACATGTGGGGCGGCAGAGGAGGGACCCGCAGGAGGCCAGGCGGCCGCAGCTTGGCTGGCAGGAGGAGGTGGGGACACAGCAGGAGGGGACGGGCACGCGGCGGGCGGGTCTGCACACAGGGCGGCAGAGGAGGGACACGGAGGAGGAGGGTCTGCAGCAGGAGGTGGTGCAGCAAGCTGGCTGGCAGCTAGACTGCTGGCAGCACAGAGAGGAGGCCCCAGAGCAGACAGGCACACAGCAGATGGGCTTGCAGCAGACGGGCACACAGCAGGACTGTTGACACGGGGAGGAGATGCAGCAAGCTGGCTGGCAGCTAGACTGCTGGCAGCATGAAGAAGAAGGCCCACAGCAGACGGGCATACAGCACACAGGCTTGCAGCAGACAGTCTTGCAGCAGACGGGCACGCAGCAGGCCTGCTGGCAGGGGGAGGAGGTGCAGCAAGCCGGCTGGCAGCTAGACTGCTGGCAGCACGAGGGCGTGCAGGAGCTGGTGCAGCCTGATTGGCAGGGGCTGGGCTCACAGGTCACTCGGCAGCAGGGGCTGGATACACGGCTCACTGGGGTGCAGACCAGGCTCAGGCAGGGGGCCGGGGCGCAGCAGGGGGGCTCACAGCAGCTCTCTGGGCAGTCGTCCACCTGCCAGGAGTCGGAGCAAGAGTCACAGGAACCAGGAAGGCAGACGCGGCTGCCATAGCTCAGGTCGCTGGAGCAGACGGACATGGTGGATGCAGCCGTGCTGGGGGTTGAGCTGGGGGAGCTGAGAGGGAGACAGTGAGTGTCTGGGTGCTGGATGGGAAGGAGGGAGTGAGTGAGTGTCTGGGTGCTGGATGGGCAGGAGGGAGGGAGTGAGTGAGCGTCTGGGTGCTGGATGGGCAGGAGGGAGGGAGTGAGTGAGCGTCTGGGTGCTGGATGGGAAGGAGGGAGTGAGTGAGTGTCTGGGTGCTAGGAGCTTATATATCTCTCAAGGGTGTGTGTGTTGTCCCAGCACAAGGCCCCAGGCTTCTTTCCTTGTTGGTGTTTGGGGTGGTTTCTTGAGGATGCTCACCATGAACCGTGTAGCGTAGCTTAGCTCCTGAAGCTCCCCAGGTGTCAGAACTGAGCGGGACCGTGGGGCCGTGGAGGGAGCCGGCCAATGGGCTGGAGCCCAGCCTCTGCGTGGACCACAGAAGGTCAGCAGCCCTTGGCCGCCCCTCTGTGATTGTCATTTGGTATTGCTTACTATTATTTCCCCCTAATTTCTTCACACTCAGTTGAGTCAAGGATGTTTTTCTTCTTGTTTTATATTCTCTTTATCTTGAATCCGTAGACCAATGAATGGCTTGGGAGCTGGATTTATTTTTATTTTTTTCGGCAAACAGTCATGTGATAGGTCTTGCTGTGTGTCAGGAAGTATTCTGAGCAAGTTTGTAAATATGACCTCACTAACCCATACATCAACCTTGTAAAGTAGGGGCTGTTATTATCCCCACTCTACAGATGGAGAAACTGAGTCACAATGAAGAACTTGTGCAAAAGGCTGCACCAGCAGGCAGAGGAGCATACACTGGAGGCCTGGCAGGCCCGTATTCTATGTTCTTAGCCATTAACCTCTGCTGCCTCAGAGAGCAAGGGACATGGGAAATCAGAATGAGAAACCCAGATTGTGTGAGAAGAGCGGGGCGGAGCATGGTTTAGACATGGCGGTGTGGGATTGATGTGAAAATATCTGATGGGTGCCCAGACGGTTGGGTCTAGCTATAAAAAAGGAGCTCCTTCCATCTAAAGAGAGAGGATTTGGGTTTATTTATGAGTGGGAATGTGAAAAAACATTATTGTGAAGGGAAGGTCCAGTTCAGAGTTCAGAGGGGTTGTTCTAGGAGGTTGAAAGATTTCTTTATGGGAAGTGAATTGTTTTTAATTTTGAGAAGAAGACATTCGGCAGCCTTTGTGGTTGAGGACTCTAGAGCCCCAGGGCTCATCTAGCCTGGAGGATCCTGAGATTAAGGGAGAGCTGCTTGGCTCTGCCTGGAAAGTTGGAGGGCTTCAGGCCCACAGGCAGTGACCAGCAGGTGAGGGCTCGAGGTGTGTGGTGGATGGGCCCCTTGAAGTGAAAAGCCCTGGTGTGTGGTGTCTGCTGGTCTCTGCGTTGTAAACATTACCCTGTGATGAGATGAAACCCTGGTGTGTGGCGTGTACCCCTGTCCCGCTGCGGTGAGATGAGAACCCTGGCGTGGAGTGTTAGCTGTCATCCGTGGTGTAAATATTCATATCCTGGCTGATTTCAAGCTATGAGCAGTTTAACAACCTGCTTGAGAAGATTCTGAATATTTAACAATCATTTCTCCTAAGCTGAATAAACTGGCCCACCACAAGGGACCAGGAACTTGGAGGAAAAATTGGACTTGGGAAAAGGGTCTTGGGATCGGAGGTCATTGCAACCCTGAGGGAGTGTGAGCCAGGTTGGGGCATGGCCAGGGAGAGGCCCAAGGGAGGGAGGACCAGCTGATGCCTCTGGCCTGAGTCGTGCATTCATTTCCTGCTGTGTGTCATGACCCGACCCCCGACCTCTCAGTAGAAGGTCTGAGAAGAGGTGCTTTGGGGACCGAGACCCAGGGGCCTGTTCTGTACATATCAGAGTCTGTGGTGCACTTGCGTACCTGAGAGACAGCACAGCGTCCAGTCCAGTGGGAGCAAAGGTGCCAGGACAGGACCAGGAGAGTGTGAATGCCCCAAAGCCACAGGAGTTGGGGTGGGGTCGGGGGAGGCTGGATAGGTTCCCCACAGTTTGGAGGGCACTGTCTCTTGTTATTTTATTTGGATTATAAAGAGTGACCTCAGAAGGCCAGAGGATCTGGGGACATCTGGGTTAAACACCTCCGAGGTCAAGTGTCTGCATCAAGCAGCTCCTCCAGCCTGTGGCAGAGGCCTGGAGGGTTGGGGCAAAGCACGACCCCCCTTGGGGCAAGTCCAGGGGAGACCCTCCATGCTCTGTGTGAGCAGAAGGGACATTGAAGAGCTAGAAGATACGCCATTCCACCCGGAGTGTCCTCAGCAGGTTTATTCGATCTTCATGCTGCACCGGCTCACGGGAAGCTCTGTGAGCGCCGCCTTCTCCCCACTTCCTCCACGAGCTACTCGAGCCACTTTTCTGAGACTCAGCAAGGTCAACAACCTGCAGCCTTGTGTGCATTATTTTCATGATAGGCACTCAATAATTGTTGTTTATTATGACTTTATCAATACATGTGTGCTAAAACTGCCTATTCTTCCATTTGACTGCCTTTAAAAATGTTTTTTTTGTGATAAAATATATATAACATAAAATAGCCAACTATTTTTATCTTTTAAACATCGTGGTAAAATATACATAGCATAAAATTTACCATTTTAACCATTTTTAAGTGAACAATTCTGTGGGTTAAGTACATTCACAGTGCTGTGCAACCACCACCACTGTTCACCTCTAGGACTGTTTCTTCTTCCCGAACTGAAACTCTGTCCCCATTAAACATTCACTCCCCATTTCCTTCTCCCCACTGTCACTGGTCACTTCTATTCTACTTTCTGTTTCTGTGAAGTTGCCTGTTCTAGATACTTCATGTAAGAGGAATCAAACAATATTTGTTTTTTTTGTGACTGACTTATTTCACTTGGCACAATGTTTCCAATGTTTATCTGTGTTGCAATATGTGTCAGGACTTCTTTCATTTTTATGGATAAATAATATTCCTTCATACAGATATACCACATGTTTCTTTTCATGTGGAAATCTAGTTTTCCCAGCACCATTTGGGGAAGAGATGATTCCTTCTCCATTGAATGGTCTTGGCATTCTTGTTGAAAATCGGTTGACCATGAATGAATAGCTTTATTTCCGGACTCTTAGATTTGATTGCTTTTTGTGTCTATCCTTATGTTAGTACCACACTGTTTTGATTACTGTAGCTTTGCAGTAGGTTTTAAAATTGGGAAGTGTGAATCCATTCATCCATTCATCTGTTGGTAGATACTTGGGTTATTCATACCTTTTGGCTATTATGAATAATGCTGCAAAGAATGTTGACATACAAGGATCTATTTGAGCCTCTCTCTTTTTATTTATTTACTTATTTTTAGTTCTTTTGGGTGCTCCTTATTTCCTGAGTCATGTGGTAATTCTATGTTTAACTTTTAAGGAACCACCAAAATGTTTCCGCAGTGGTTGCACTATTCTACATTCCCACTGGTAAAGTATGAGGGTTCCAATTTCTCCACATCTTTGCCAACACTTGTTATTTTCCTTTAAAAAAAAAAAATTACAGCCATCCTGGTAGGTGTGAAGTAGCATTCATTGTGGTTTTGATTTCCATTTTCCTAATGAGTAATACTGTTGAGCATCTTTTCATGTACTTATTGGCCATTTGCATACCTTCACTGGAGAAATGTCTACTCAATCTTTTGCCTATTTTTTAGTTGGGTTGTCTTTTTGTTGTTGAGTCACAGTCAGATGTATGATTTGCAAATATTTTCTTTCATTCTGTGGATTGTCTTTTCACTTTCTTGACAGTGTTCTCTGATTCAAAAAAGTTTTAAATTTTGATGAAGTCCAATTTATTTTTTCTTTTGTTGCTGGTGCTTCTTGCGTAATATCTAAGAACCTAGTGTCAAATCCAAGGGAATAAAGCATTTTTCCCATCTTTTCTCCTAAGATTTTGATGGTTCCAGCTACCATATTTAGGGCATTGATCCATTTAGAGTTAATTTTTATATATGATATTAGGTAAGGGCCCAACTTCATTCTTTCCCATCTGTAAATCTAGTTTTCCTAACACCATTTGTTGAAGAGATTATTCTTTCCTTATTGAATTATCTTGACACTCTTGTTGAAAATCAGTTGGCCATAAATGTATGAGTTTATTTCTGACCTTTGAGTTCTATTCTATTGGTCCATATGTCTGTTCTTAGGCCAGTACCACACTGTTTTGATTACTGTAGCTTTGTAGTACGTTTTGAAATCAGGAAGTGTGAATCCTCCAGCTTTGTCCCTCTTTTTCAAGATTGTTTTGGCTATTCTGAGTTCCTATAATCCATATGTGCTTGAAGATCAGCTTTTTCATTTCTGGAAAAAAAAAAGACTTGGAATTTTGATAAGGACTGCATTGAATCTGTAGATTTCTTTGGGTAGTACTGCCATTTTAACAACATTAAGTCTTCTAATCCATGAACATGGATGTCTTTCCATTTATTTAGGTCTTCTTTAATTCTTTCAGCAATGTTTTACAGTTATCATTGTACAAGTCTCTTACCTCCTTGGTTATATTTGTTACTAGGTATTTTATTCTTTTGGATGCCATTGAAATGGAATTGTTTTTCTTAATTTCCTTATCAGATTTTTCATTGCTGGTGTATAGAAACATGCATGATTTTTGTATGTTGATCTTGTACCCTGAAACTTTGGTGAATTCTTTAATAAAGCTCTAGTAGCTTTCTTGTGGATTCTTTGGGATTTTCTATAGACATGATCATGTCACCCGTGAATAGAAATAATTTTACTTCTTCCTTTCCAATTTTAATGACTTTTATTTATTTATTTTTCTTGTTTAATAGCTCTGGCTAGAACTTCCAGTACAATGTTGAATATTGGTGGTGAAAAGGGACATCCTGTCTTGTTCCTAATCTTAGGGGGAAAGCTTTCAGTCTTTCACTGTCAAGTATAATGCAAGCTGTGGGTTTTTCATACATGCTGTTTAGCATGTTGAGGAAATTCCCTTCTATTTCTAGTTTTCTGAGTGTTTTAAAATCATAAAATGGTGTTGGACTTTGTCAAAGCCTTTTCTTTGTTAATTGAGATCATGTGGGTTTTTTCACTTCATTCTCTTCGTGTGGTATACTACATTGATTATTTTTAATCTGGAGCTATCTTTGCATTCCTGGGATAAATCCAACTTGGTCATGGTATATAATCCTTTTAATATGCTGTTGGAATCACTTTGCTAGTATTTTGTTGAGAATTTTTGCATCTGTACTTACAAGTCATGTTCGTCTGTGATTTTCTTTTCTTTTGATGTCTTATGTGGGTTTGGTATCAGCATAATGTTTGCTTCACAGAGTGAGTTAGAAAGTGATCCTTCTATTTTTTTCTTTCACAACTTGAGGAGGTTTTTGTTAAATTTTAAAAAAATGTTTGGTGATATTCACCAGTAAAGCTGTTGTTGGGTGGAGTGTCTATACATATCTTTTGTGAGTAACTGGTTTATAGTGGGTTCAGTTCTCTATTTCCTATTGACCTTCTGACTAGATGTTCTGTTCATTATTGAAAATGAAATATTAAAGTCTCCAACTATTGTAGAACTATTTCTCACTTGAATTCTGTCAATGTTTGCTTCATATATGTGGGGACTCTTTGTATGGTGCATATATGTTTCTAATTCTCATATCTTTGATGAGTTGAATCTTTTATCAATACATAATGTCCTCATGCATTTTTGCAATTGGAACAATATGGATGAATAGGTCCTTGATGTTCTGTCTCTCAGTTCTTAGGGTCTTAGTGTACGGATGGGGACATAAGGATTCTTGAAAAAATAAGCTTATTATAGAGAAAGTCAGCTGTGAGTAATGGCTGATACAACATATGTTGTTAACAGTTATACGTTAGAGACATAGGGGTGAGTGCCATTCTTTGCTATCAGCTCTGTTCCCTGGCCTAATGATGCACATGCTAATTCCGTAATCTCTTAGAGCTTGGGGAGAGAGAGGGACTCAAAGCAACAAGGTTGTAAAATCATGTTCTTAGGAGACATTTCAGATGTTACCTAGGTAAGGGGGTGAGCTGGGGAGAGAGAGAGAAGTGTGGAGAGAGGAGAGAAGGGGAGAGGAGGCGAGGGGAGATGAAGGGAAGGGAGGGGAGGAGGACAAACTAATAGGTGTCTGGATTCTCCATCCCACTTTAAATTAGAGAAGCTGTGTTTTAATCTGTTTTACAGACTTGACTTCTAGGTCAGATTCAGTTTGAAAAAATATTTCCACTACTTTAAAATATTTTGAAAAGAGCCTGGCATGGTGGTGCATACCTGTAGTCCCAGCTACTTGAGAGGCTGAGGTGGAAGGATCACTTGAGCCCAGAAGCTTGATGCTAGACTGACAACATGGCAAGACCACCCCTTCTCTATAAACAAACAGACAAACAAAAATGTAGAAAAGCAAATGACCACACCCCCAGAGGATAAAATACATGCTACTTAGCCTTAGAAAAACACATATGCTTACTTAATAGTTTTATGGTTAATAATTTGCTGTCATGTTTACTGCTTATCTTAAGAACTGCTTATCTTCTGTTTAACCTGTTTATTTACAGCATGCTCATCTTTGAAAGCGTGGGCTGAATGCTGACCTCCCGGACATCATGAGTGTTGTTCTGTGAGTCTGTAGCCTTCAGTGCTGCTGATGAGATGTCTGATGCTAATCTGATTTTTATTGCTTGTGGGTGACTTGTTCATTTGTTTGTTTGTTTGATTTTCTGGAAGCCCATGGGAACCACTTGTTATCTTTGATGTTATATCATTTCAACAGAGGACATATCTAGGATTTTTCCGTTCATTTTTCTTGGCATCACTTGGTTCTTTTCAGCCTGAAGACTGTGTCTTTAGCCTTGGGAAATGCTCCTCTTTAGGAGTTTATTTGTGCATCCGCTCATCATTCTCACTGTCCCGCTTTGTGGGACTCCCACACATCAGGGATTACATTCACTAGATCAGTCATTTATGGTATTTTTTCCTCATTTCTTTTTTATCTCTTTGACGTTTTGTTCCAAATCAGAGCGATTTCTCAACCTCATGGTGATGGTTAATACTGAGTGTCAACTTGATTGGATTGAAGGATGCAAAGTACTGATCCTGGGAGTGTCTGTAAGGGTGTTGCCAAAGGAGATTCACATTTGAGTCAGTGGCTGGGAAAGGCAGGCCCACCCTTAATCTGAGTGGGCACCATCTAATCAGCTGCCAGCGAATATAAAGCAGACAGAAAAAATGTGAAGAGGCGAGACTGGCCTAGCCTCCCAGCCTACATCTTTCTGCTGTGCTGGATGCTTTCTGCCCTTGAACACTGGACTCCAAGTTCTTCAGTTTTGGGACTCAGACTGGATCTCTTTGCTCCTCAGCTTGCAGACGGCCTATTGTGGGACCTTGTGATCATGTTAGTTAATACTTAGTAACCCCCCCCAAAATATATATATATATATATATATATATATTCATTCTATTCTGTCCCTCTAAGGGAACCCTAATACACTCACCTTCAAGCCTCTCTGTTTAATTTTAAATATCAATGAGATGTTTAATATCTGTGACATTTTAGGGATCATTGTTCTAATTGTTCATTTTCAAAGCATCTTGTCCTTGTTTGGTAGATGTAACATCTTCCTGAATATCTGAGTGTATTTAGGACTTTTTTTTTTTTTATTCGAGATGGAGTCTCGCTCTGTCGCCCAGGCTGGAGTGCAGTGGCATGATCTCAGCTCACTGCAAGCTCCGCCTCCCAGGTTCACGCCATTCTCCTGCCTCAGCCTCCTGAGTAGCTGGGACTACAGGCACCCGCCAACACGCCTGGCTAATTTTTTGTATTTTTAGTAGAGACGGGGTTTCACCGTGTTAGCCAGGATGGTCTCGATCTCCTGACCTCGTGATCCGCCCGCCTCGGCCTCCCAAAGTGCTGGGATTACAGGCGTGAGCCACCGTGCCCGGCCGTATTTAGGATTTTTTAAGTTCCTTAAACCATTGGTTTCCCCTGGGTGCAGTGATATGTTAGTTTATCTTGGTCTTGCTTTTCGTGCCGCTGGCTTCCCTCCTGGCTGGGGTGAGGGTGGTCCCGGGCTGCCCGGGCTCCTCTCTTGCTGTGTGTGTGGTCTGTTTTCTGCTGGAGGAGCCCCCACCTGAGTGGGGAGGTTGGCCTGGTGCTCTATGCTCGGGGCGCAGGTCCATCCATCGCCAGCCTCACTTTGGAGTAAAAGCGATGGGAGCCCGAGGCCAGCATGAGAGAACTGTGCCTGGTGCCCCTCGGGGCCTTTAGGGGTCCTGGCCAGGGGGTGACATGCTCACACCTTCAGTCCCCCTCTCCACTGCAGCCCTCCCCACTCCCCTTCCGCTGGGCTTGCTGGGAAGCAGAGCTGTGTGGGGCTCCCAGGCAGGTGGGTCCCACCTCTGCCCTGGTCGGCAGTCCACACACACCCTTCTCTTTCCTTTTCATTTTTTTTTCTTTGAGATAGAGTCTGGCTCTGTTGCCCAGGCTGGAGTCCAGTGGGGCGATCTCGGCTCACTGCAAGCTCCACCTCCCGGGTTCATGCCTCAGCCTCCTGACTAGCTGGGACTACAGGCGCCCGCCACCATACCCGGCTGATTTTTTGTAATTTTAGTAGAGACAGGGTTTCACCGTGTTAGCCAGGATGGTCTCCATCTCCTGACCTCATGATCTGCCCTCCTCGGCCTCCCAAAGTGCTGGGATTACAGGCGTGAGCCACCGCGCCCGGCCGTCTCTTTCCTTTTCATTGCTGGAGTCCCTCATCCTTGGTAAACTCACTTGCCCTCCCCTGTGGTGGTCTTGGGAAGGTGGAGATGGGAATGGTGGGCTGGGTCTGCCATCCTGCCCTGGGGCAGCCACACTGTTTGAGTGTTGGCTTCCTCATGACTGTCCTGCTGCTTCTGGGACATTTGGCTGACCTGCGATCCACCGTTATTCTCCCTGAATGCTGGGTACCCCAATTCTCTGCACCCCACTTCCCTCTGATCATAGCCCAATTCTCCAAAGCAAGGATCTCATGTGTGGCTTCTATTTTTTATGAAAACATTTACTGTTTTCATCTTCTGAACTACTTTTTAAAAACTATCTTTATTTTCATTTTGTTATGAAAAACGGAAACATACAGAAAAGTTGTAAAAATTAAACAGTGGGCATCCACGCGCCCGGCCCTGGATCTGCACCTGGCACGTCACTCACTGTGCTTGATCGGATACTCACCCCCGAGCCGGCCTCTGTCAGTGCATCATATTTCACAGGCACTGCAGGGGAAGGTGCAGCAACCGCACACTTCACTCACACACTGCAGCAACCTGCCATTAACTCGAGTTCAGCATTTGTTTTGCATGTGAAATGATTCAAATCTCAAGGGTATCATTTGACGAAGTTTGCCAATCTGTCAACACAGCTCACCCAGGCCCCCTCAAGGCCCAGGGGAGAGGGTGGTCCTGGCTTCCCTCCTGGCTGGGAGAGGACCCCCATCAGGACCCTGGACTTTACCATCCTCTCCAGAACTCTTCTGCCTTCCCCAGTCAATTTCACCCAATCCCCCAGAGATGGCCACTGCTGAGAATTTTTTAAAGCATGAATTGGTTCTCCTTGTTTTAGAACTCATTCAGATGGAGTCATACAGCAAGTCCTCTGGTGCCGGCCTCTCCCACCCCGCGCGGTGTTTCTGCGATGCGTTCCTGTTGCCGTGTGCGTAAGCAATGCCGCCCTCAGTGCTGGTGTGGATTCCGCTGTACCGCTCTGTCACGCTGTGTTTATCCATCCACCAGCTAATGGGCACATGGGCCGTTCCGGTTTTTTCTGTTATGATACAGTGGGACAAGTGTGCCTGCCTTTCAGAGCCCTCAGCACCCAGAAGCTGAGTAATCACCAGGCGCCCAGTGTGTCACTGGGAGCCCTGGCTTTCAGGGGACCCTTCCTCCTGCTGAGCTGAAATCTACCTCCCTGTCACACCGCCTCAGTGGCCCCAATCCAGCCTCTGGGGAAACGCGTGCTGGGGGAAAGCCCTTCTGACACCCGAAGGCAGCCACCAGGTTCCCCAGGCTCAGCCTCCTTCTTCCCGCAGCCCTTCGTCCTGTGGCTTGGTTTCCAGGCTCCAGAAGAGTCCTGGCTGAGAGATCCTCGTCTGAAACTACTGGGAAGGAGACACCCCCTTTGGACTCAGCAGCTTCAGCCACAGCTTTTCCCAGAGCGTCTTCCCGACATCCCAGGGTCAAGCTCCACCTCTGAGCAGTGACCAAGGACAGAACCCCATGCTGACATTGTCTTGGTCAGGAAGGCAAAGGACAACGAGAAACAGCTTCAGGGAAATTTTTAAAAAGACCCACTATTAAGGAGCAGAGAGACTTATTTTTGATAGAGAACTAAGCCTTCCTGCACAAGAACGTTCAGGGGAAATTCCAGCCACAGTGGGAGGTGGATCTGTCACCAGGGACTGAGAAGTGCAGGGGGATTCTGATAATAGGACAAAGGGAAAGGCTTTTGCTAAACAATAGCAGAGAGTTGATTATCAGGATAATCCATCAGCAGCAGGCCGGTGTGGCAGGTCACAGGTCTGCAGGCCAGGGAAGGGGCAGAAGGGCGGGCAGCACCTGGAGGACCCGCAGGAGGCGGCCACACACAGGCCCGACCTGAGCATGCGGCAGGCCAGCTGGCAGGAGGTGGATGCCTCACACAGGGGCCGGCACAGCAGAGCTGCACGGTGCGGGGGGCAGGGCGGGGGTGGCCAGGTGGCAGCAGGAGGTCCCACAGCCCTGGGTGGGCAGCAGGTGGTGGAGATGCAGCATAGAACCAGGGCAGGTCATGGGCATTCGGGCAGCAAGGCCCCTGGCATCTTCCTCCTTGGGTGGGTTTTCCTCCTCTGCCCTCTCCTGTTGATCTTTCTGGGTTTTCTTGTTGAGGTTACTCAGTTCAGGAACCTCTGAGCTGGGGGTTCCCATGACTCAGCAGACCATGTGTTTCCTGGAAACAGAGCCGAGGGGAGCTGGTGAAGGGCTGTCAGTGAGGCCAGGGGTCCACCTCATGGATGTTCAAGGTCCCCCTGTTGCAAATGCCATCTGGAGCTCACACAAACACAGTCACACTCACTGCACCAGGGGCCCCGTTTTGACTGAGAAGCTCAGTCATCATCAGGGTCTTCCCAAGTAATGAGAGCCAAGCTACTGGGCTCCATATTGTGGAATAATAATGATGATTATTGAGGTAACAGTAATGCACAGAGGTCTAACACTGTGCCAGGTTGTGATTATCTCATTGATCTTTGCCAGCATTCGGGGTGGCTGATACCCCATTTTACAGATGTGCAATTTGTAAGTCATAGAGGGTTTGCACAATGGGTGCGTGTCTGCACCACTGCAGAGGTGCAGGGATCTGGACTGCTTAGTTTCACTCTGGGATCCATGGTCATTACCACTGTGCCAAATTATACCGGGGGTAGAGGGTTCAATAAGTGACTCATCCTGAAGTCCTGAACCAGCTGGGACAGAGAAGATGGATGAAAACATCAGCCACGTTGGCGTCTGCAGAGCATGGCTCAGGCGTGTGACCACAGTGGGCTTCCTGACACCACACCTCAGAAGTGCCCACTTCCCACGAGTAGCACTAATGGCCACAGGACACCTCCTCTGCAGACGGAGCCCAGGAGGACCCATCACAGAGGAGGGCCTGAGCTACTCATGTCTGGTTCCTCTCCCTCGCTGTGGGTCTGGTCAGTCTCACCCCTGCAGAGGCAGCTTGGGGGAAAGTGAGGAGCTGGTGTGAAATTCCAGGATGCCCCTGAACTTGGGAAGCAGCGGGCAGGAGTGTGGATGGCACGCTCCTCCTCACACTCCAGCTCTGTTCTCTCGATGGATTGGCCACAGCGCTTTATTCTACGGTGGTGTCACACAGTAGGGGTATGAGCCATCTCTCACGGCAGAGCTACTCCCTCCATCCCAGGCAGCTCCCAGGGGCACCCTCTGCTCCTGTGTGGGTCCTCCTGTGCCTGCTGGTGGTGGATATGGGTGATTCCTGCCAAGAAGCCTTCAGACAAGTCAGACACCATGTTAATGAAATCCCCTCCAAGGCTGAAGACCAAGTGGGGTCTCAGAGCTGTGGACAGAACTTAGAAGTCTATGGACCCAGAGCCGATCTGTGGCCATGTGAGAGTGACCTTAAGGCCTAGGGACAAGCCGGGCGAGGCCACAAGTTCAGCCCTGTCACAGGCAACTCCTTTCACTGCTATAGTTCAGAATCACACTTAAAAACCAAGAGAATTGGGGCAGCCACAGTGATCACATGTTCCTATGTGACCTAGTCACCAAGTAATCCATTTTAAAGGTTAGCTGTCTTACAAGTTGACTACAGAAGAATGAGGATGCATCTTTGATATTTACCTGCTCCTTTACCTTCCCCCATCTCCTTCCTGTAGGTCAGGGCCCACCTGGCCTCGTCCTAGTCAACCTAAAGCACATCCGTGCACGTTGCCTGGCCCTTACTCCTTCCTGCAGGTCAGGGCCCACCTGGCCTCGTCCTAGTCAACCTAAAGCACATCTGTCCACGTTGCCTGCAGCGCACATCTGCAGGGGAGGATTTCTCCCAGCTTTTGTTCCTCTGAACAGATTTTCACTTCAATCTCAGTTTCTGGGGTTTTTTGAGACCCTTCTTGCTTGGTCACCCAGGCTGAAGTGTGATGGTGCAGTCATAGCTCACTGCAGCTTCGAACTCCTGGGCTCAAGCTATCCTCCTGCCTCATCCTCCTGAATAGTTGGGACTACAGGTGCACACCGCCACCCCTAGCTAATTTTTAAATTTTCTGTAGAGATGTGCTCTTGCTTGTTGCCTAGGCTGGTCTACAACTCTTGGGCTCAAGTGATCCTCTTGCCTCAGCCTTCAAAGTGCTGGGATTAGAGGTGTGAACCACAGTGCCCGGCCCGGCCTCAGTCTCAGTCTTTAAGCACGTTCTTCATAGATGTAGACTTCCGGATTGCCAGTTATTGTTGCTCAGCATTTTAAAGATGTGTCTCCACTGTTTCTCATGAGAAGCCAGGGCGTTTTTCTTATCCTTGTTCCTTTGTATGTAAAGTGTCTTCCTGTCACTGCTTTTGAGATTTTGTCTTCATTTTTGGTTTTCATCACTTCATGATGTGCCTGGATGTGGTTTTCTTCCTATTTATCCTACTGGGGGCTTTCTGAGATTCCTGGATTTGGACGTTGTTGATTTTTGAAGTCAAATTTGGTGTATTTAAAATTTCTAACTACTGTACTTTTCAGTTCTAGGATTCCCATTTTAAAAAATAGCTTCAATTACTCTACTGAGATTCCCTATTTATCCATTCATGAAGACAATGTTTTCCTTTAATTATTTGAACAGTTTTCTTGGATTTTTTGGAAGATGTCTATAATAGCTGCTTACAGTCATCATTTGCCATGTCCAATATCTAGACCATATCAGGTTTATTTTTTTTAACAGTGAATTAAATTTACCTATATCTTTTAATATCTGATGATTTGTTTTTTGAGACGGGGTCTTGCTCTGTTGCCCTGGCTGGAATGCAGTGGTGTGATCATAACTCATGGCATCCTCAACCTCCCAGGCTCAATAGACCCTCCTGCCTCAACCTACCGTGTAGCTGGGACCACAAGCATGCACCACCATGTCTGGCTAATTTTTAACCATTTTTTTGTAGAGACAGAGTCTCACTATGTTGCCCAGGCTGGTCTGAAACTCCTAGCCTCAAGCAATCTTCCCATCTTGGTCTCCCAAAGTGCTGGGATTACAGGCATAAACAACCGTGCCTGGTCAATATCTGATGATTTTGATTGTGTATGAGGTATCATAATAATGCATTTACAGACTCTGAGCTGTATCATGTTTCTGATTTTTGTTCTAGCCGTCAGTTACTGGAGAATGACCTTAATCTTGTGCAGTTTTTGTTCAACACTTTGCTAGGGTGGATCTCTGGGAAGCATCTACAACTTGGAACACTCTGTATCTTGGTGGGACTCACATTCCAAACTGTCTTCCCTAAAAATCCTATTCTGAATTGGTTTAGGCTTTGTTCGGGCTGGCCTAGGCGGGTCTCACTGTAGTCTGTGGTCCTTACTCATTTGGTGCCGGGCTGTAGGGGGTCTCGGCTGGATGTCGACGTGGGGACTGGAGGGGGGCTTCACTCTCAATCCTCTAGCAGCTTCTCTCTGGTGAGCCTGTGGTTGCCTTGCCCTGGGAATGCACAGCCCTGCCCCGTTCCACAGATTCACAGTCAGCTTCCACAGTGTGGGGCCTGCTCTCCACACGGATCCTTCTTTCCGCTTCTCTGCTCCTCGGACTCCAGGGCTTCAGCTGCTTGAGCGCTGGCCCCTTCCTCCTCGGCAGAGTTGGGTCACTGTATTCTGCTCTGACTCCGGCTGGTGACACTGCATTTTGGAAGGTGACACTGCATTTTGGAAGCCTGCCCCAGCAGAGAGCTGGGAAATGGGAGTTTATCTCCTAAGTTTCTTCTCTCTCAGGAAGCACAGTCTGCACTGCTGGTTGACGGCTGCCTGAAAACGAGCATCTCCTAAATCTCAACTGTATAGTTGATAGAGTAGCCAGCTTTGCATCACTCACTCCAGCAGGTTCCCCAGTATGATTTCATTGTCTATATTCAGTTCTGGTCTCTTCCCCAAAGTTTCTGGTTGATGCAACAGAAGTTGCGGTTCGAGGAGCTCTTTTGGGTACCACTCATGTCTGCTTCAGCGTAGAACTAACGAAGGGAGGCAGATATCAGGCAGGTGGAGCTAAAACTGCCTGTGCATCACTGATAAATTTGGGCAGGTTTCCAAATGTAACAAGAGCTTGAAGAGGGTGCAATTAGTCACGAAACAAAGGGCCAGATAAAAAACATCATCTACGACAGAAAACTGAGTTCCAGGAAACAGCCTTGAGGAAGAAAAACAAGGAAGACAACAGGTGTGTGCTTCTGTGCTGTGGGGATGCCTGGGTCCAGGTATAAAGGCTACCCAGGGAGGCCATCCCCAGACATCACTGCCCTCTGCCTCGACCTTATCCAGCCACACGCCACCATGTGCCACACCAGCTGCTCCTCGGGCTGCCAGCCAGCCTGCTGCGCGCCCAGCCCCTGCCAGGCATCCTGTTACATCCCCGTGGGCTGCCAGTCCTCCGTGTGCGTGCCCGTGAGCTTCAAGCCAGCCGTGTGTGTGCCCGTGAGATGCCAGTCCTCTGTGTGCGTGCCCGTGAGCTGCAGGCCCGTCGTGTATGCGGCTCCCTCCTGCCAGTCCTCTGGGTGCTGCCAGCCTTCCTGCACCAGCGTCCTCTGCAGACCCATCTCCTGCAGCACCCCTTCCTGCTGCTGAGCATGAATCTCCAGACCCGCTGCTCCCAGTGCAGATGAGGCCACACCTGTACACTCCCTGGATGAGTCCTCAGTTGGTCTTCTGCACATGGTGCAGGTGAAAAGCATGCTCAGTGAACCCTCTGAATTCTGGATCGAGAATATAATAGAATGATCTGGAGCCCTGGCTGAACTTGCCTATCCCCCCAGGGAAGTCTGGGGTCCCAGAGTCATTCTCTGACCCCATGAGAGTCAAATAAACCAGCTTTCCCCATGCAACTCTGCGTTTCTTGTCTCTCTTTTTTATTTCTATACTCCCCGCTATCTATTCTGCTGATTACATAGAATTTGCTGCTAAACCCTCTTCAGTGATCCCTTCACCCAGTGCTCATCAGAAGGTGGTGTCCCGGGTGGAGGGCGCGGCTGCAGATGCCCATGTGGTCTCTCCCAGGGCTCCTGGGGCCCAGCTGCAGTGGCCACAGCGGTGACTTACCCGCCTGTGGTGGAGTGGCCTCGCTTCCCCACTGGCTGTCCACTCCTGCTCCAGGCCAGCAAGCCCTGCATTGATGGCCAAAGCCTCAGAGCACTGAGGATCGGGCTTTCCCATGTGGTTGGTGGATGTCCTGCTTCCCGGGTCGCGGAGGATCTCAGGTTTACAGAACTGGATTAGTTCTGCAGCACACACTCCCATCACTGATCTACATATGGCACTTTTTAAAAATTGATACATAATATGTTTACATATTTATGGGGCATATGAAATACTTTACACACAGAGGATACGTAATGATGAAATCAGGATATTCATCACCTTGTCTATCATTTCTCTGTGTTGAGGACATTTTACACTCTCTCTTCTAGCTGATTTGAGACATACAATACATTGTTAACTGTAGTCACCCTATGCTGCTATCAAATATTAGAACTTATTCTTTCTGTGTAACTGTATGTTTGTACCCATTAACCAAACTCACTTCTCCTCTAACACACACCGTTCTTCACCTCTGGTAATATCATTCTACTCTCTACTTCCATGAGATCAACTTTGTGAACTCCCACATGTGAGTGAGAACATGTAATATTTGTCTTTAATGACCTTCGGTTCCATCCATGTTGCTGCAAATGGCAGGACTTCATTCTTTTTTATGGCCGAATAAGATTCCATTGTAAATATATACCACAGTTTCTTGATTCATTTATTTATTGATAGACATTTAGGTTGAATCTGTATCTTGGCTATTGTGAATAGTGCTGCAATAAACATGGGGGTGCAGGTATCTTTTTGATACACCAATTCCCTATCCTTTGAATAAATAGTAGCAGGATTGCTGGATAGTATGGTAGTTTTATTTTAGTTTTCTGAGAAATCTGTATACCGTTTTTGATAATGGCTGTACTAATTTACACTTCCACAAATGATGTATAAGAGTTCCCTTTTCTCCACATCTTTACCAGCATCTGTTATTTTTTGTCTTTTTGATAATAGCCATTCTAATTGGGGTAAGATGATGCTATCTCATTGTAGTTTTGATCTGAAGTTCCCTGATGATTAGTGATGTTGAGTTTTTTTTAATATACCTGTTGGCCATTTGTATGTCTTCTTTTGAGAGATGCCTATTCAGGTGCTTTGCCCATTTATTAATGGAATTATTTGTTTTGTTGTTGTTGTTGAGTTGTTTGAGTTCCTTACATATTCTGGATATTAGTCACTTGTCAGATGCATAGTTTACAAATATTTTCTCCCATTACACAGGTTGTCTCTTCACTCTGTTGATTGTTCCGTTTGCTGTGCAGAGCTTTTCAGTTTAATATAATCTCATTTGTCTATTTTGGTTTTTGTTGCCTGTGTTTTTGTAGTCTTAGCCATAAACTGTTTGCCTAGACCAATGTCCTGGAGCATTTCATTTATGTTTTCTTCTAGTAGCTTTATGGTTTTCGGTCTTATGTTTAAGGCTTTGATACATCTTGAGTTGATTTCTGTATATGATGAGAGGTAGGGATCCAGTTTCATTCTTCTGCATGTGGCTATCCAGTTTTCCCAGCACCATTTATTGAAGGGGTGTCCTTTCTCTATTGTATGTTCTTGGCACCTTTGTTGAAAATCAATTGGCTGTAAATATATGGATTTATTTCTGGGTTCTCTATTCTGTTCCATTGATCTATGTGTCTGGTTTTATACCAATACTATGCTGTTTAGCCTTGTAATATATTTTGAAGTCAAGCGGTGTGATACCTACAGGTTTGTTCTTTTTGTTCAGGATAACTTTGGCTATTCAGGGTCCTTTTTGGTTCCATATGAATTTTAGGACTGTTTTTTCTACTTCTGTGAAACATGTCATTGGCATTTTGATAGAGATTGCATTGAGTCTGTTGATTGCTTTGGATAGTATGATCTTTCTAACAATATCATTTCTTCTGATCCATGAACATGGAATGTCTTTCCATTTGTTTGTGTCTTCTTCAATTTATTTTATCAGTGTTTTGTAGTTTTCTTTGCAGAGGTCTTTCACATCCTTGGTTATATTTATTGCCAGGTATTTTATTTTTAAAATAGCTATTGTGAATGAGATTGTGTTCCATGGGCAGGTCTATGCAAACCTACCCCCAAAGTTCAAGGAAGCTGAGAGGCCACAGAAAGAGGCTGACAAATCCAGTTTCTCAGAAAGAAACATTTAATAAGGACTTAAAACAGAAGCCATGTCTGTGTCTTGGGTGGTGGTAAGATAAGCTGGTGGATCCCTGTGCCATTACCCCTCCAGACCCAAGGCTTATATACCATAAGGAAAGGGTATATGTGATTTAGAAGGGCTCTGTAGACCAATTGAAGTAGGATAACGTCAAGGTTGTTTTGAAGCAGGATTTATAGTATGTGCTCTTATACAAGGAACAGTAGATAAACTGGAAATTTTAGAGGCCTTCCCAGAACAGGTTAACTAGAAGTCCATATGGCAGATTAGCATCCAAGATGGAGTTGTTTTAGCCTTCATGGATTGCCTTTTTGCTTACTTTTTCAGCTAGTTTGTTATTGGTGTATCGAAACACTACTGATTTTTATATGTTGATTTTGTATCCTGCAACTTTACTAAATTTGTTTATCAGTTCTAATAGTTTTTTGGTGGAGTCTTTAGATTTTTCTAAATATAAAATCATGTCATGTGCAAAGAGGGACAATTTGACTTCCTCTCTTCCAATTGGGACAGCTTTTATTTCTATCTCTTACCTGATTACACTGGATTGGACTTCCAGTACTATGTTGAATAGGTGTATTAGTCCATTCTTACATTGCTATAAAGATACCTGAGACTGGGTAATTTATAAAGAAAAGAGGTTTAATTGGCTTATGGTTCTGCAGGCTATACAGGAACCATAGAGGCTTCTGCTTCTAGGGAGGCCTCAGGAAGCTTACAGTCATGGCAGAAGGCAAAAGGGGCACCAGTGCTTCACATTCTGGAGCAGTGTGGGTGGGGTGAGGATGCCACACACTTTTAAACAACCAGATCTCACAAGAACTGATTATCATGACAATACCACCAAGAGGGATGGTGTTAAACCATTCATGAGAAATGGCCCTCATGATCAAATCACCTCCTACCAGGCTCCACCTCCAGCGCTGGGGATTACATTTCAAGTTTGGGTGGGGACACAGATCCAAACCATATCAATAGGAGTGATAAAAATAGGCATCCTTGACATATGTACACATGCCTCCACTTACTCGTGCCGCCATGGCAGCTCCCGCATCCACCAGCAGCACCGTCCGCTCGACAGATACTGCGGGCCTGTCAGTTATCGAGTGTGACCGCTGTGGCCCAGAGTTGTCTCTATGGGAAGTTAGTCCTCCGTCCACTGTGACCATGCCGCCGATACTCTACTTCAGGCAGCTCTGTGGTTGACTACTGGCAACATTGCTGGAGCTGGCCTTTTGTTTTTTGGTGGAGGTATTGGTGGCACTATCCTATATGCCAAATGGGCTTCCCATTTCCGAGAAAGAGTAGAGAAAACCATACCTTACTCAGACAAACTCTTCGAGGTGGTTCTTGGTTCTGCACCTTATAATGTTCCATTGCCAAAGAAATCAACTCAGTCTGGTCCACTAAAAATCTCTAGTGTATCAGAAGTAACAAAAGAATTTAAACAGCCTGCCTCACAACTCCAAAAACAAAAGGGAGATACTCCAGCTTCAGCAACCGCAGGTGATACAGTGTTGGTCCCTGGGGTTCAGCATGAGGAATCTTTAAAAACTGATCACCCTGCAATTGATGAAGGAAAACCCACACCTGCACTTTCAGAAGAAGCATCCTCATCTTCTATAAGGGAACGACCATGTGAAGAAATTGCAGCTTGCCTTGCACAAGAGGAAAAACAAGAACAAGTTAAAACTGAGTCTCTAGCCAAGAGCTTTGAAGATGCTCTGAGGCAAACTGCAAATGTCACTCTGCAGGCGATTGCAGCTCAGAACACTGTGGTCCAGGCTGTCAATGCACACTCCAACATATTGAAAGCCGCCATGGACAATTCTGAGATTGAGGGCAAGAAGAAGTCTGCTAAGTGGCACACAGTGCAAGGTGCGTTGAAGGAACACAGAAAGGCAGTAGATGAAGCTGCCAATGCCCTTCTCAAAGCCAAAGAAGAGGTAGAGAAGATGAAAAGTGTGACTGAAAATGCAAAGAAAGAAGAGGTTGCTGGGGCCAAGCCTCATATAAACTTCACAACATGATAGTTGATCTGGATAATGTGGTCAAAAAGGTCCAAGCAGCTCAATTTGAGTCTAAGCTTGTATCTCAGTATCATGAGCTGGTGGGCCAAGCTCAGGATGACTTTAAACGACAGCTGGACAGTATTACTCCAGAAGTCCTTCCTGGGTGGAAAGGAATGAGCGTTTCGGACCCAGCTGACAAGCTCTCTACTGATGATCTGAACTCCCTGATTGCCCGTGCACATCGTCACATCGATCAGCTGAACAGAGAGCTAGCAGAACAGAAGGCCACAGAAAAGCAGCACATCACATTAGCCTTGGAGAAACAAACGCTGGAAGAAAAGTGGGCATTTGACTCTGTAGTAGCAAAAGCATTAGAACATCATGGAAGTAAAATGCAGGCTGAATAGGACAGAAACGTAGAGGAAGTCAGAGATGCCATGGAGAATGAAATGAGAACCTAGCTTCACTGACAGGCAGCTGCCCACACTGATCACTTGTGAGATGTCCTTAGGGTTCAAGAACAGGAATTGAAGTATGAATTTGAGCAGAACCTGTCTGAGAAACTCTCGGAACAAGAATTACAGTTTCATCATCTAAGTCAAGAGCAAGTTCACAACTTTACTCTGGATATAAATACCGCCTATGCCAGACTCAGAGGAATCGAACACGCTGTTCAGAGTCATGCAGTTGCTGAAGAGGAAGCCAGAAAAGCCTACCAACTCTGGCTTTCAGTGGAGGCATTAAAGTACAGCATGAAGACCTCATCTGCAGAAATGCCTGCTGTCCCACTGGGTAGTGCAGTTGAGGCCATCAAAGCCAACTGTTCTGATAATGAATTTACTAAAGCTTTAGCCACAGCTATCCCTCCAGAGTCCCTGACCCATGGGGTGTACAGTGAAGAGACCCTTAGAGTCCGCTTTTATGCTGTTCAAAAACTGGCCCGAAGGGTAGCAATGATTGATTAAACCAGAAATAGCTTGTACCAGTACTTCTTCTCCTACCTGCAGTCCCTGCTTCTATTCCCGCCTCAGCAACTGAAGCTGCAGAGCTCTGATCTGAAGATATAAACACGTTTAAATTACTGTCATATGCCTCCTATTGCATTGAGCATGGTGATCTGGAGCTAGTAGCAAAATTTGTCAATCAGCTGAAGGGAGAATCCAGATAAGTGGCACAAGACTGGCTGAAGGAAGCCCGAATAACCCTAGAAACGAAACAGATAATGGAAATCCTGACAGCATATGCCAGCGCCGTAGGCACAAGAACCACTCAAGTACAGCCAGAGTAAGGTCTAGGAAGATTTTCGTAAAGTCGTATTTCATGTCAAGGAAATCAGCAGTGATACATGAAGGGTTTGCCGCAAGGGTCCCAGAATTGTCTAGACATGAGCAGGCTTACAAGTACTGTTCTAAATGTTAACACCTGTTGCATTTATATTCTTTCCACTTGCTATCATGTCAGTGAACTCCAGGAGTGCTTTCTTTGCAACTCGTGTAACATTTTCTGTTTTTCGGATTTTACTGATCAGACTTGTGAGGCCAATCAAAATAATGTTTGTGATCTCTACTACTGTTGATTTTGCCCTCGGAGCAAACTGAATAAACAAGATGAAAACTGAAAAAAAAAAATGCATCCTTGTCTCATTCAGTTCTTACAAGAAAGGCTTTCAGCTTTTTTCCATTTAATATGATGTTAGCTGTGGGTCTGTCATACATGGCCTTTATTATTTTGAGGTATGTTTCTTCTGTACATGGTTTGTTGAGAGTTTTTATCATGAAGGATATTGAATTTTGTCAAATGCTTTTTCTGCATCTATTGAGATGCTCATATACTTTCTGTCCTTCATTCTGTTAATGTGATATATCATGTTTATTGATTTGTGTATGTTGAATCACCCTTGCATCTGTATGATAATTTCCACTTGATCATGGTATATTATCTTTTCGATGGGCTGCTGGATTCAGTTTGCTAGTATTTTGTTGAGGAGTTTTGCATCTATGTTCATTGGGGATATTGGTCTGTACTTTTCTTTTTTTACTGTATTTTTGTCTGCTTTCGGTATCAAGGTAATTCTGGCCTCATAGAGTGAGTTAAGAAGAGTTCCCTCCTCTTCAATTTTTTGGAACAATTTGAGGAGAATTAGTGTTGGTTCTTCATGTGTTTGGTATAATTTGGCAGTGAAGCCATTCAGGCCTGGGCTCTTCTTTGCTGGGAGACTTTTTATTACTGATTCAATCTGGTTATTCATTATTGGTCTATTCAGGTTTTCTTTTTTTTTTTAATTCAATCTTGGTAGGTTGTGTATGTCCAGGAAATTATCATTTCCTCTAGGTTTACCAGTTTTTAGAGCATAGTCTCTGGTAATGTTATACACACACACACACACACACACACACACACACACACACACACACACACACACACTTTAAAGACAGAGTCTCCCTTTGTCACCCAGGCTGGAGTGCAATGACCCAGTCGTGGTGTGGTCATGGCTCACCACAGCCTCCACCTCCTGGGCTCAGGTGATCTTCCCACCTCAGCCTTCTCAGCATCTGAGACTACAGGCATGTGCCACCATAACTAGCTAATTTTTGTATTTTTTATAGAGTTGGGTGTTTGCCATGTTGCCCGGGCTGGTCTCAAACTCTTGGGCTCAAGTGATCCACCTGCCTTGGCCTCCCAAAGTGCTAGGATTACAGACATGAGTCACCGTGCCCAGCCAGATGATCTTTTGTATTTCCATGGTATCAGTTGTAATGTCTCCTTTTTCATTTCTGATTTTGTGTATTGGGGTCTTCTTTCTTTTTTGCTTGGTTAGCCTAGCTAGCTGTTTATTGATTTTTTTTTATCTTTTTAAAAGACCAACTTTTTGTTTTGTTACTTCTTTGTATTTTTTTAAAGTCTATTTTGTTTAGCTATATACTTTATTGTCTCTTTCCTTCTACTAATTTTGGATTTGGTTTGTTCTTGCCTTTCTAGTTCCTTGAGGTGCATCATTGGATTGTTTATTTGAAATCTTTCTACTTTTTTTTTTTTTGAGATGGAGTCTTACTGTGTTGCTCAGACTGGCCTTAAACTCCTGGGCTCAAGTGATCATCTCACCTCAACCTCCCTAGCAGCTGGGACTATAGGCACCACCACATCTACCTTTTTGATGTAGGCATTTATTACTACTAACGTCCCTCTTAGCACTGTTATTTTTGTAGCCTATAGGTTTTGATATGTCGTGTTTCCCTTTTTATTTTTTTTTGAGAAATTTTTTGATTTCCTTATTAATGTCTTCATTAACCCAGTAGCCATTTAGGAACATGTTGTTCAATTTCCACATATTTGTACAGTTTCCAAAGCTCTTCTTGTTATTAATATCTAGTTTTAGTTATTGTGGTCTGAGAAGATACTTGATATTATTTTGATTTTTTAAAGTTAGTTGAGACTTGTTTTGTGGCCAAACATAGGGTCTGTCCTGAATAATGTTCCATGTGCTTATGAGAAGAATGTGTATTCTGCAGCTGTTAGATGAAATGTTCTTTAAATGCCTATTAGGTCCATTTGCTTTAAAGTTCAGTATAAATCCAATTTTTTTGTTGTTGTTGATTTTCTGTCTGGATGATATGTCTAATGGTGAGAGTGGGGTGTTGAAGTCCTCAACTATTATTGTATTGGAGTCTGTCTCTTCCTTTAGATCTAATAATATTTGCTTGTATATCAGACTCTTTTGGTATTGGGTGCATATAGATTTAGAATTGTAATATTCTCTTAAGAATTTCCTGTATGGCTGGTCCAGTGGTGATGAATACCCTCAGCTTTTGATTGTCCATGAAAGATTTTATTTCTGTTTATTTATGGAGGATAATTTTGCTGAGTATAGTATCCTTGTCTGTCAGTTTCTTTCTTTCAGCACTTTGAATATATCATCCCATTCTGTCCTGACCTGTAAGGTTTCTGCTGAGAAATCCACTGTTAGTCTGATGGGGGTTTCCTTATATATGACTAGTTGCTTTCTTCTTGCTATTTTTAGAATTCTCTCCTTGTCTTTGACTTTTGACAGTTTGACTATAATGTGCCATGGAAAAGATCTTTTTGAATTGTATCTATTTGGGGATCTGTATTAGTACGTTCTTGCATTGCTATAAAGAACTACCTGAGACTGGGTAATTTATAAAGAAAAGAGGATTAATTGGCTCATGGTTCTGCAGGCTGTACAAGGAGCGTGGGTTGGGAAGCCTCAGGAAACTTATAATTAATGCAAAAGGCAAATGGGAAGCTGGAATGTCCTACATGGCTGGAGCAGGAGGAAGAGAGAAAAGGGGGAGGTGCTACACATATTTAAACAACCAGATCTCGTGAGAACTCACTATCAGGAGAACTGCAAGGGGGAAATCTGCCCCCATGATCCAATCCCCTCCCCCTCAGCCCCTTCTCCAGCATTGAGGATAACAATTCAACACGAGATTTGGGCAGAGATAGAAATCCAAACCATATCAGGATCTCTGAGCTTCCTGCATCTGAATGTTTAAATCTCTTGCTAGACTAGGGAAATTTTCACCTATCATTTTGCTAAATAGGTTTTCTTTTTTTTTTGTTTTGAGACGGAGTTTTGCTCTATCGCCCAGCCTGCAGTGCAGTGGCGCCATCTCTGCTCACTGCAAGCTCCGCCTCCCAGGTTCACGCCATTTTCCTGTCTCAGCCTCCCGAGTAGCTGGGACTACAGGCACCTGCCACCACGCCCGGCTAATTTTTTGTATTTTTAGTAGAGACGGGGTTTCACCGTGTTAGCCAGGATGGTCTCAATCTCCTGACCTTGTGATCCGCCCGCCTTAGCCTCCCAAAGTGCTGGGATTACAGGCGTGAGCCACTGTGCCTGGCCTATTTTGCTAAATAGGCTTTCTATGCCTTTGGGCTTCTCTTTGTTTTCTGGAACATCCAATATTAGAATATTTGCTCACTTTATAGTGTTCCATATGTTACATAGGCTTTGTTTATTCTTCTTTTTTTCTTTTTGTCTGACTGAGTTGTTTCAAAAGACCAGTCTTCAACTTCTGAAATTTTTTCTTCTGCTTGATCTGGTATATTGTTGAAGCTCTCAAATGGATTTTTTATTTCATGTATTGAATTATTCATTTCCAGGATTTCTGTTGGATTCTTTGGTTATGATATCTGTCTCTTTGGTGATTTTCTCATTCATATCCTGAACTGTTTTTCTGGTTTATTTGTATAGTTTATCCATGTTATCTTATATCTCACAGAATATCCTTAATATCATTATTTTGAATTATTTTTCTGGTAATTCATACATTTCTTTTTCATTTGAATCTGTTGCACAATTCTTGTGTCCCTTTGGAGGTGTGACATTTCCTTGTTTTTTCATGTTTCTTGAGTCCTTATATTGATATCTGCACATCTGACATAACAATCACTTCTTCCAATTTTGGGGACTGGCTTTTTTATGAGAAGACTTTTTCCTGCAGATGTGTCTATGGCGGTGGCTGGTTGGAATACTTTAGCTATGATTCTGGGTGCATGCAGTAGTTTAGTCTCTGTATGATTTCTTTGGCTGTGAACAGCATCACTAGTGTTTGTGATTTCCTCAGCAGCTTGGCTGTGGTTGTCAGTGGAGGCTGTGGTGAGGCTTTTCTGGGGTCAGAAACACCAGGTTGGCCAAATCTCAGGCCCCAGTGGTGGCAGCAGTGGGCCAAATGTGCCTGTCCTTAGGCCCCTGAGTAGCATATGCTGGCACTGGTGTTACCATGTCCAGGCAGGCTGATTCTTGGGCCTCCAGACAGCTTGCTTATGTGCTAGCAGTGGCAGCAGTGGGTTGGATGCATGGATGGGTCCTTGGGCCGCTGGGCAGTGTGCCTGACATGGATGATGGTAGTAGCAATGGTGGGACAGCCTTTGGGCTCTCAGACAGCACTTCCTAATATAAGTGGTGGTTGTGACAGGCTGGGCAAGCCAGTCCCCAAGCTCCCAGGTGGCACATGCAAGTGAGCGCTGGTGGTAGTGGCATGCTGGGTGGGCACATCCTCAGGTCCCTGGGAGGAGTGCATAGATGGCTGGCATTGGTAGAATGGGTTGGGGGGGACCACCAGGCCCCCAGATGGTATGCTTGGGCACTGAGGGTGCAGTGCCAGGCCACACAGTGTGCATGGACACAGGCTATGGTGAATAGTGTGGGGTAATTTATGATGGTGGGTGGGGAAAGCCTGTACTCAGGGTACATGCAAGTTCATGAACCCCTGCCTTATTGATGCATCCAGCTGGTATTGCACTCCTGCAGCCCTCTTGGGTTGGTGGGGGTTGTGGGATTCGGCAGAGCTGAAGGGATGTGGAGATACAAGATCTGTTGGGCCCCAGGGCAGGATGCAGACTTTTAGGGGCTGGGCTCTCAAAATGGCACCATGCTACAGCTGCTCAGGACCTGGTGGGTGTGTGAGACCCAGTGTGGGCTCTTTCTCTGGAGCAATGCCATTATGTGGCATCCTGGCAAATCCCTATGTAAGTCTCAGGGCATGTGAAGAATAAGAGGCTCTCCCATGGCTAGGGTTTCAGGTCCATGCTGAATCCATGGTGGAAATGTAGACAGCTGGGAATCTCTCATTTACCATTTCCCTGGACTGGGGAGTCTCTGTGGGCTCCCGACTGATTCTAGCTGGGCCAGCTGCCTCCCTTCCCTTGCCTTCTGTGCCTCAGATATTTCCTGTCGCTTCTTTGCTGAATTCCAGTTGCTTCTTTGCTGAATTCCAGTGTCTCTCTCAGATGTCCCATTCAAAATGTTGTTACCTCTCACTCTTTTGGGTTCTTTGTGGAAGAGGCAAGTGTCAGGTGCCTCTAGTCAGCCCTCTTGAGCCTGCCCACTTTTTACTGATTGATCAATTATTAATGATTATAACAACCCCCCCACCTATGAACCATGAACCCACTACCTGACACAGAAACTAGAACATCATCAATAATTTACCATGAACTTCTTGGGGCAGCCACTGTTGGGATTATGTGCCCTTTATTCTGTTACTTTCTAGAAAAAATAGAGTTGAGTCATATCTCTTTGTATTCCTGAAATGTGTGTTTTCTAATTTAGTGGTTTTGAATGATATTAAAAGGGAATTATTCTGAGTAATCTTCTGAGACTTATGTCTCCCACTCTGTACAGAGTTGCTAAGGGTCCTCTGCATTTCTTGTGGGTGTATTCTGTATTCAGCGTGCCTCCTTCCTGGGGTTCTGCTGTTTCTACTTCAGGTTAAATGCCCCCCAGTAGATGGGCAGGCCTGTTGTTCCCAAGAGTCTGCTATTACAGATGGTGCTGATATAAACATTTGCAAACCTATTCCACAATTTGTTTGTTAGTGTTCTGGGGGTAGGACCTCTGGGGGTGGGACTGCTGGGGCAAAGGGCATCCGGATGTTCATCCCAACAAGGCACGCCACCTCCTGCGGGTGATCCGTAAGCCGAGGAGGAGAATGGTGGGAATACTGGGATGGCTGTTGCCAGTAGCAATGGAGTGTGCTGGAACCTGATGTCATGGTCTCGGTTTTCAGCCTGGCAGCCTCAGTCCAGGCTCCAGGCTCCTTAGTCCATACTGCAGGCACACAGCTAGCCTCTCTTTAACTGAAAGTACAGCCCTCCAACCCCTCACCCTTGCCCCCTTGATGCTGAGGGGTGGAGGAGGCTCTGTGTTTGTAGCTTTGTGTTTTAGGGGAGAATGCCCAGTGCTTTATTTTTTTATTTAATTTTTTTTGAGATGGAGTCCTGCTCTGTCACAGGCTGGAGTGCAGTGGTGCAATCTCACCTCACTGCAAACTCCACCTCCCGGGTTCAAGTGATTCTCCTGCCTCAGCCTCCCAAGTAGCTGGGACTACAGGCACGTGCCACCACACCCAGCTAATTTTTGTATTTTTAGTAGAGGCGGGGTTGCACCATGTTAGCCAGGATGGTCTCGATCTCTTGACCTCATGATCCAGCCGCCTTGCCCTCCCAAAGTGCTGGGATTACAGGCGTGAGCCACCTGAGTTTGATATTACATATATGTGATGCTGTTTAATGATGTCTCACAGGCTCTTTTCATTTTTCTTAATTCTTTTTCTTCCTCTCCTTCATTTTGGATAATTTCTATTGATGTGCTTCAAGTTCATGAACTCTTCTTCAATCTCATTCTATATTTACGTCTATCATGTGGATTTTAAAATATCAGCTATTGTACATTTTAGTTCTAGCATTCCCATTTAAAAAATAGTTTCAATTTCCCTACTGAGATTCTCTATCTTTGATCTTGAGTTAATTTTGTATATGGTGTGAGGTAAGGGTTAAAAATAATCTTTTGTGTGTGGATATCCTGTTTTCCCACTGCCATTTGTTAAAAAGTCTGTTCTTCCCTCACTGAAAGGTCTTGACAGCCTTGCCGAAAATTATTTGACTGTAGTTGTGAGAGTTTATTTCTGGGCTCTCTATGCTATTCCATTAGTCTATATATTGGTCTTTATGCCAGTACCACAGTTTTGATTAGTGTAGCTTTGTAGTAAGTTTTGAAATCAGAAAGTGTGACTCCTCCAGCTCTATTCTTTTCTTAAGATTGATTTGGCTATTTAGGGTCCCTTGAGACTCCACATAAACTTTAGGATGGGTTTTTCTATTTCTGCAAGAAATGTCCTTGGGATTTTGACAGGGATTGCATTGAATCTGTAGATTGCTTTGGTTAGTATGGACATATTAACAATATTAATTTCCAATTCATGAACATGGGATGTGTTTCCATTTATTTCTGTTGCCTTTAATTTCTTTCAACGTTTTGTAGTTTTTGTTACACAATTATTTTAATTCTTTGGTTAACTCCTGAGTATTTTGTTCTTTTTAATGTATTGTAAATGGAATTGTTATTGTACTTTCCTTTTGAGATTATGCTTGTTAGTTTATGGAAATAGAACTGATTTTTGTGTTTTGCTTTTGTATCCTGCTACTTTGCTGAATTCATTTATTCTAAAATTTTTGTGTGTGGAATATTTAGAGTTTTCTACATATAAAAATCATGTCATCTGTGAACACAGCTAACTTTACTTCTTGCTTTTCAATTTGGATGCTTTTTGTTTCTTTCTTTCTTCCTTTTAAAAACAATTGCCTAGTTGCTCTTAGTAAAACTTCTAGTACTATGCTGGCTTTGTTCCCAATATTAGAGAAAAAGCCTTCAGTTTTTCACCAGTGGGTATGAGGCTTGCTGTGGGTCTTTCATGTATGGCTTGTATTGTGTTGAGGTAGTTTTCTTCTATTCTTAGTTTGTTGATTGTTGTCATCATGAAAGAATCTTGAATTTTGTGAAATGCCTTTTCTATATCAATTGAGATGATCACGTGGTTTTTTCCTTCATTCTGTTATCATGATGCCAAGTTCCAAGTGATCTGGTGTTGACATCTGTAGGCTCAGAGATTCTACTGTCCCTGCAGTACAGGGTGCACATGGCTTTCTGCTGAACATACCCAGAAGTCATTCTGGCCCTTGGAACCTTCTATATTCAGCTCACACATATCCTGCTGTGGCTGTCCATGGGACCCTTCACTGGCCTCACATGCTTCCCTGGGAACATGCTTGGACCAGCTTGATTTCCTTAGAGCTGTGTCTCCATGCATGAGGGCCAGTGGTGTTGTCTCATCTTGGTTCTTAACTAGGAGGATTTCTCAAGACAAAGATCCATGGTCACCACTCACAAGAAGTTCTCTGTGACCCACACCCTTTGTCCCCACTCATCCTATGGACAAGTGATTTCCATGTTCTTCCTCCATCTGCTAGCTCTCATCCAGCTCTAAGCTCTCAGGACACCCACAGATCAGCTAGACACGTCCTGTTCTACCTCACATTGACTGTGGAGCCTTCCTGAGCCATGAGAGGAGTGTAAACTTCTGTGGTTTAAGGACCATCATCACACAGAGAGGAAAAAAATCTGGAGATCTGAGTTTTTGGAATCTCACAAAAGTAACTCAGGTAAAATTTTAAAGAACAAGGAAGAATCTTGATGAAGCCAGTAAAACACTCTGGCAGGTTTCCAAGCATACCAAGAGTTCGAAGAAGGTGCAATTAGTCATGAAGCTAAGGGCCAAACAAAACCCAGAGACACCTACAACAGAAAATTAAGCTCCAGGAGACAGCACTGAGGAAGAAAAACAAGGAAGACAGGTGTGCTTCTGTGCTGTGGGGATGCCTGGGCCCAGGTATAAAGGCTGCCCAGGGAGGCCGTCCCCAGACATCACTGCCCTCTGCCTCGACCTTATCCAGCCACACGCCACCATGTGTCATACCAGCTGCTCCTCGGGCTGCCAGCCAGCCTGCTGCGCGCCCAGCCCCTGCCAGCCAGCCTGTTGTGTGCCCAGCTCCTGCCAGGCATCCTGCTGTGTGCCTGTGGGCTGCCAGTCCTCCGTGTGTGTGCCCGTGAGCTTCAAGCCAGCCGTGTGCCTGCCCGTGAGCTGCCAGTCTTCTGTGTGTGTGCCCATGAGCTTCAAGTCAGCTGTGTGCGTGCCCGTGAGCTGCCAGTCTTCTGTGTGTGTGCCTGTGAGCTGCAGGCCCATTGTGTGTGCAGCCCCCTCCTGCCAGTCCTCCCTGTGCGTGCCTGTGAGCTGCAGGCCTGTCGTGTATGCGGCTCCGTCCTGCCAGTCCTCTGGGTGCTGCCAGCCCTCCTGCACCAGCGTCCTCTGCAGACCCATCTCCTACAGTATCTCTTCCTGCTGCTGAGCATGAATCTCCAGACCCGCTGCTCCCAGTGCAGATGAGGCCACACCTGTACACTCCCTGGATGAGTCCTCAGTTGGTCTTCTGCACATGGTGCAGGTGAAAAGCATGCTCAGTTGAACCCTCTGAATTCTGGATTGAGAATGTGACAGAATGATCTGGAGCCCTTGCTGACCTTGCCCATCCCCCCAGGGAAGTCTGGGGTCCCAGAGTCATTCTCTGACCCCATGAGAGCCAAATAAACCAGCTTTCCCCATGCAGCTCTGCATTTCTGGTCTTTCTTTTTTATTTCCATACTCCCTGCTATCTATTCTGCTGATTACATAGAATTTGCTGCTAAACCCTCTTCAGTGATCCCTTCACCCAGTGCTCATCAGAAGGTGGTGTCCCGGGTGGAGGGCGCAGCTGCAGATGCCCATGTGGTCTCTCCCAGGGCTCCTGGGGCCCAGGTGCAGTGGCCACAGAAGTGACTTACCCGCCTGTGGTAGAGTGGTCTCGCTTCCCCACTGGCTGTCCACTCCTGCTCCAGGCCAACAAGCCCTGCACTGATGGCCAAAGCCTCAGAGCATTGACAATTGGGTTTTCTGATGTGGTTGGTGGACGTCCTGTTTCCCAGGTCGCGGAGGATCTCAAGTTTACAGAACTGGATTAGTTCTGCGGCACACACTCCCATCACTGGTCCACAAAGGCTTGGTTTTTATTGATTGACTGATGATCAATTACTGAGGATCCTAATATAATAAACCCGCATGAACCCACTGCCTGACATAGAAATGAGAACATCATCAATAATTTACCAAGAACTTCTTGGGGCAGCCACTGTTGGGATTGTGTGCTCCTTATTCTGTTACTTTCTAGAAAAAATAGAGTTGAGTCATATCTCTATGTATTCCTGAAATGGGTGTTTTCTAATTTAGTAATTTCTGGTGATATGAAAAGGAAATTATTCAGAATGTAATCTGGAACTTGCTTTTCCCAGTCTGCGTTGTGCTGGTAGCATTCTTCTGCATTTCCCCTGTCTGGGCTGTATTCCCCTCCTGGGGGGCTCTGCTGTGACTGTCTCAGGTTAAACGTTCCCCAGTAGATGGGCCAGCCCTCTTGCCCCAGGAGTCTGCTATTCCAGATAGCATAGCCCAGAACTGTCCCCTGAAGAACGTTCTCACTACTGGCTGCCTTCGATTCCAAGATTTTTATTTGCCTTGGAGGCAAGTGTTGAGTTTAGGGTTAAAAAACTGGTTTCATCATCTTTTAGGCAAGGTGGTCAGGGACCTATTGTGTAGTTTAAACTGGGAGGCTTTGGATAAAACTGAGTGAGAAATGGAACCAATCAACCCAGACATATAAATGCTTGCAGCCGAACACATTCGAATCCATGAACACACCCAATGTGTGCACTATACAACGTGCACACACTTATGCACACACGTAAGCACTCTGGTCCCCCAGGCTGGGAGTTAGAGGTCAAACTGGAAATCAGAGCATGAGAGGAGGGAGGGTTGGTAACCAAAAAATGCTTCTGGAGAACCTACCTGCCCTGTGCACAGAGAAGCATGGATGAGGCCTGGCTCAGCCCCCGCCCTCTGGAGCTGTGGCCCTCAGGGCCACTTGGAGCCCAAGTTCTGTGATGCTAGTGCTCCACATGGGGCATTTGTTAGCAAGTCCAGGTTTTTGCATGGACGTATTTGTTTCTTTCTCTTGGGTAAATGTCTAGGAGTGGAATAGCTGGGTCATATGCTAAGTATCTTTTTGCCAACACCATCCTGCCCTGATAAATGCAGCTTTATAGTAGGTCTTGAAATCAGCTAGTGTGAGTTCTCCAATTTTGTTCTTCTTTTAAGAAGTTGTTTAGGCTACTCTAGTTTCTTTGTCTTTCCATATAGATATTTGAATAAGCTTATCAATATCTACAGAATTTGTGCTGAGATTTTGATTGGGAGTGTATTGAAACTATATAGATCAATTTGGGGAGAGTCGACATATCCAGCAATCCATAACATGGTCTATTTATTTAGGTTTTCTCTGATTCTTCTCATCAATATTTTGTAGTTTTCAATGTATACATTTTATATATTTCCCCCAGAATTTATCCCTAAGTATTTTATAAGTTTAATGCTATTATGGTACTATTTTTAAGTTTCAATTTCTGATTGTTCATTGCTAGTATATTAAAATAAAATCGATTTTTGTATATTGGCATTTTTTCTTTGACCTTGTTAAATTCACTTACTAGTTCTTGTAGCTTTATTGTAGAATTTTGGGGATTTTCTAGGTAGACAATAATGTAATATGTTAATAGAGACTGTGTTATTTCTTTCTTTCCAGGCTGCATGCTTTTTACTTCACTGTTTAGGAAGTCCAGTATGGTAATAAATAGCAGAGGCAAAAGTGAATGTTCTTGCTTTGTTGTTGATTTTAAGGGGAAAGCATATAGTCTTTCATCATTAAGTATGATATTAGCTATAGGTTTTTCATAGATGCTCTTTAAAAGAAGTTCCTTTTAATTTCTAGTTTGCTAGCAGTTTTTATTCTGAATGGATGTTGAATTTTGTCAAAAGCCTTTTCTGAATCTATTGAGATAATAATATGGTGCTTCCTCTTTAGTCTGTTGATATGGTGAATTATAAGTTGATTTTTTAACACTGAACCAACCTTGCATTCTTGGGATAAATCTCACATGATCACGACCTTTTATCTCTTTTACATATTTCTGGATTTAATTTGCTAGTATTTGGTTGAGAATTTTGCATCTATATTCATAAGAGATATTATTAATAGTATATAGTTTTCTATATACTATGTACTATAATACTTTTGTTCAAATTTGATATCAAGATTATGCTGGCTCTATGAATTTAATCGGGAATGATTCCTTTCCTTCTATTTTCTGGAAGAGTTCATGTAGAATTGGTTATATTTCCTCTTTAAATGTTTGGTAGAATTTTCCAGGGAGGCCATTTGCCCCTAGTTTTATTTGTTGAAAGATTTTAACTGAAAATTCAACTTCTTTAATAGATATGATACTATTCAGGCTACCTACTTCTCTGGAATAAGCTTTCATACTTTTGTCTTTTAAAAATGTGCCAGTTTTATGTATGTTATCAAATTTAATGGTATGAAGTTGTTTACATCATTCCTGTATCATGTTTTTAATAATTGTAAGATTTGTAATGATGTCTCTTCTTCACTCCTAATATTGCTATTTTGTGTCTTTTTTTTTCTTTTTATTATAATTTTACCGCTCAGTCTGGCTAGATGCTTATTCATTTCATTGTTCTTTTCAAAGAAGCAGCTTTTGCTTTCATTGAATTCTTTTCCATTTTCTACTTCATTTTTTTTTTCAGATTTTTAATTATTTCATTTCTTTTGCTAATTTTGAGTTTAATTTTCTTTTTTTCTTTAAAGTGCAAACTTAGATAATTGATTTCAGGACTTTCTTCTTTGTGAATATAAGCACTTAATGATATAATTTTATCCCTCTAAACACTATTTTAGCCATGTTCCATATATTTTGACATGTTGTCTTTTAATTTGTATTTAATTCAAAATATTTTCTAAATTCTCTTGTGATTCTTCTTTGAACCATGGGTTATTTAGAAGTGTGTCGGTTACTTTACAGTTCTGCAGGGTGTTTCTCGCTATCCTTTTGGTGTTAATGTCTAATTGAATTTCTTTGTGGTCAGAGAACATACATTGTATTAGTTCAACTTTTTTACATGGGTTGAAGTTTATTTTATGGCACAATATAGTCTTTTTGGTGAATGTTTCATGTGCTTGAAAAGAATGTGTATCTGTTATTGTTGGGTGGAGTGTTCTGTCAATATCCATTAGGTCAAGTTGATTGACAGTGTTGTCCAGGCCTTCTGTATCCTTCCTGATTTTCTGTCTACTTGTTCTCTTGAAGCTGAAGTCCAATGACAAATCTGATTTATCTGTTTTTCCTTTCCCTTCTCAGTTTTTTTGTTGCATGTGTTTGGAAAGTTGGCTGTTTGGTGCTTACACATTTAGAATTGTTACGTGTCCATGGTGAATTGATGCTTTATCATTATGTAATATTCCTTTTTATCCTTGGTAATATTTCTTTTGTGAAGTTGACTTTGATATTAATATAGCCATTCCAATTTTACTTGATTAATGTTTGTGTGGTGTATTTTTCCATCTGTTTACTTTTAACCTATCTATGTTTTTTATATTTAATGTGAGTCTTCTGGTAGATAGAATATAGTTGGGTCCTGAATTATTTAATCCAATTAAAAATCTCTGTTTTTTGGTTTTGGTGTTTAGATGATTTGCATTTAATTTAATTTAATAAATTAATTTGCATTTAATTTAATATTAGCAAAATATCACTTTGCTAATTGTATTCTATTTGTTCCATCTGTTCCTTTTTATCTTTGCCCTCTTTCTATGCCACTTTTTGGTTTAGTATTCTTAGTTATTCCCTTTTATATCTACTTTTTGTATACATCTTGATATAGTTTGGATTTGTGTCCCCGCCCAAATCTCATGTTGAATTGTAATCTCCAGTGTTGGAGGTGGGGCCTGGTGGGAGGTGATTGGATCACGGGGGTGGATTTCTCATGAATGGTTAAGCGTCATCCCCTTGGTGCTGTCCTTGCGACAGTGAGTGAGTTCTTGGGAGACCTGGTTGTTTAAAGGCGTGTGGCCCCTCCCCCAGCCCCGTCTTTCTCTCCTGCTCCTGCTCTGGCCACGTGATGTGCCTGCTCCCCCTTCACCTTCCACAGTGCTTGTAAGTTTCCTCACAATTCTGCCTCCCCAGAAGCTGAGCAGATGCCAGTATTATGCTTCCTGTACAGCTTGCAGAACTGTGAGCCAATTAAACCTCCTTTCTTTATAAATTACCCAGTCTCAGGTATTTCCTTATAGCAAGGCGATAATAGCCTAATACGTCCTTTCAAACTTATTTGGCCTAAGAGTTACAATACATACCTTTACTGTAACAAAGGATACCTCCGGGTAATATGACGCCACTTCATCTGTAAGTGGCAGGACTTTACGGCAGTGTACCTCCATGTCCTCTTTTATATTCCTCGTGTTATTGTTGCCATGTTTTACTTTTACTTATGTTAAAAACCCCACAATGCACTGTCACTATTTTTGCTCTGGACAGTCAATTAGTTATAATGCTTTTTTTTTTTTTTTTTTTTTTGAGACGGAGTCTCACTCTGTGTCACCCAGCCTGGAGTGCAGTGGCGCGATCTCGGCTCACTGCAGGCTCCGCCTCCGCCTCTGGGGTTCACGCCATTCTCCTGCCGCAGCCTCCCGAGTAGCTGGGACTACAGGCGCCCGCCACCACACCCGGCTAATTTTTTGTATTTTTAGTAGAGACGGGTTTCACCGTGTTAGCCAGGATGGTCTCGATCTGCTTGCCTCGGCCTCCCAAAGTGCTGGGATTACAGGCGTGAGCCACCGCGCCCGGCCTATTTATATTTATCTTCTTTTAAAATAATTTCTAGAGCTCTTCTTTTCTTTCTTTTCTTTTTGTTCCCAGGACAGAGTGCAGTGGTGCGATCTTGGCTCACTGCAACCTCTGCCTCCCGGGTTCAAGCAATTCTCCTGCCTCAGCCTCCTGAGTAGCTGGGATTACAGGGGCCCACCACCATGCCTGGCTGATTTTTGTATTTTTAGTAGGGATGGGGTTTCACCATGTTGGCCAGGCTGGCCTCAAACTCCTGACCTCAGGTGATCCACCCACCTCGGCCTCCCAAAGTGCTGGGATTACAGACATGAATCACGGCACCCAGCCAAGAGGTGGTCTTTTCTTTGTGTGGATTCAAGTGTCTCTCTGCTATCATATTCCTTGGCTCAAAGAAATTTTTTAAGAATTTCTTATAGTGCACGTGTGCTGTTAATGAAGTCTTTTCAGTTTTTGTTCATCTGAAAAAGTGTTTTCTTTCATTTTTGAAAGACACTTTTAGTGTCATAGGGTCGACGGATTTTCTTTCAGTATTTTAAAGATGTACTTTCGGTCCTGTGATTTCTGATTAGAAGTCTGATGTAAACTCTACCTTTGTCCTTATGCTCGTAGTCTGCTTTTAAAATATTGATGCTTTCAAGATTTCCCTTTTTACCTTTGGTTTTTGTCAGTCACAGATTTAATGTGACATGTCTAGTCATTTGTGGTGGGGATATAGTTACCCAATTTGGGGTTCTCCGAACTTTTTGGATATGGGACTTTATGTATTTCATTATTTTTAGAATATTTCTCAACTATTACCTCTTTAAATATTTCTTCTGCCCTGCCCTCTCTTTCTTCTCTTTGAGGGACTCCAATTACATCCATAAATGAGGATTTGATGTTTTGCTCTTGTCTCCCTCCACCCTTCTCTTTCTCTTTCTCTTTGTGTTTTAATTTGGTCAATTTACATTTACACGTTTTCAAATTCAAAGCTTCCACACCTGGTTGTATCAAGTATACTGATGAACCCACTGAAGGAAGCCATCTGTGATACCGTATTTTGATTTTTACCATATCCACTTGACCTTTCTTATAGTTTCCATTTCTCTGCTGAAATTACCCATCTGTTCATTTATGTTTTTAATGCTTTACTCTTGATCTTTTAATCTATTCATTATAGTTATTGTAAAGTTTATACCTGATAGCTCTAACACCTGTGTGATTTTACTTTCTACTTTCTGTTTTTAGAGATAGTGTCTTGCTCTTTTACCCAGGCTGGAGTGCAGTGGTGCAATCTCAGCTCACTGCAGCCTCGAACCACCAGGCTCAAACGACTCTCCAGCCTCAGCCTCCCAATGTGCTGGGGTTACAGGGGTGAACTGTGCCCAGCCCCTGGGTCACTTTTGAATCCAGTTTTATTGATTTCTTTGTCTCCCAACAATGGCTTGGTTTTTCCTTGCTTTTTTGCATATCTTATAATTTTTTATTGAATATCAGACATCATCAGTTCCTTCTGGAAATGCGTGCGTCTCTTTTCCTGTCAGGCCATTAGTGTGTGGGGGGAGGTGGATGAGTCAATCTGGTCAGACACTGACCGTGGTTTGGGTTTTGTTGTTACTGTGGTTACCTTCAGTGCACCAACCGCTTGTGCTTAGGGTGTATCAGTGCTTGTGCTTAGGGTGTATCAGTGCTTGTGCTTAGGGTGTATCAGTGCTTGTGCTTAGGGTGTATCATCAGTGCTTGTGCTTAGGATGAGGGGTGGGGAGGTCAGCGCTTTTGCTCCACCCTAAGTTTCACACGCCCCTGCATGCCTGACGTTCAGAGGAGATCTCTACACACTTCTGCCTTTCCCCAGAGGCAGGCTGACGTTGCTTATTGAGCTGTGCCTGCTAGGCTGGAGCTGGAGAAAGGAGGGCTCTCTGTTGTCCTGGTCCAGTGTCAGTCTTAGGCAGGCCCTTTGCATGTGGGACTTGGAGAATGAGACTTTCTTCGACTTCCTGCTACCCCTCCCGGGGTAGACGAACTCTGCTCTGTATTTGTGGTGGGTGTTGTTTGAAAGAGTTTCCTGCCCTCTTTGCCACAGTAATCCTTTGAGGTATTGCATGGGATCTGGGGCCCAGGACTATTTCTTGTCCATCCTTCTGGGTAGAGGATTGTTTTCTTCTACCCTCCCCCAACACGCTCCATCTGGAAGCTTCTTCTCTGGTGGTCTTTATACCCGGGTCCCAGGCATCTGGGTAACATAAAAACGCAAGAGTTGTCTTCCTCATGGTGGTTTCCACTGTGTTTCCCAACATCTTATTACCCCACAGTGCAAGGCTTGGGGAGGGAGTCGGGGGACAGAACCTTCAGGCCACTCCCCCAACCAAGGACCCTCCACTTCAGCTCAGCCATCAGGAAGGTGGCTCTCTGAAGAGGTGCTGCTGCCATTGAAGTTGGTATGTACCTTCAAGGAAAGAACTTACGAAATACATGAAGATAAAAGAGAGAGACGAGGTGTATAGGGACAGCCGATTTATTTGGCTCACATGGGTTTTAGTTTCCTGCTGGAGTGAGAGAAGGACTCTGGCAGCCAAGACTTCCTTGAGGGGGTTCCCAGGGTCATGGAAGGTCTGAATCATTTTTCCACGTTCTCACCCCAGAGTTCAGAGGTTTCCTTGGGCATGCTTTTCATCTGCCCTATGTGTGCAATCTGGGGGTCCACCAGATGCTTATTCACGGAGGGATACAGGTGTGTACCCCCGTGTACCAGGAGCAGCTGGTCAGCAGCAGGAAGGGGTGCTGCAGGAGATGGGTCTGCAGAGGGCAGTGGTGCAGGGGGGCTGGCAGCACCCCGAAGATTGGCAAGAGGGAGTCACATATATGATGGGCCTGCAGCTCACGGGCACGCACACGGAGGGCTGGCAGGAGGGAGCCACGCACACAATGCGCGTGCAGCTCACGGGCATGCACACGGAGGACTGGCAGCTCACGGGCACATAGCAGGATGCCTGGCAGGGGCTGTGTATGCAGCAGGTTGGCTGGCAGGCTGGGGAGCAGCTGGTGTGGCACATGGTGGCGTGTGGCTGGGCTGGTACTGGGGAGGAGGATGGTGATGTCTGGAAGCTGCTTCTCTGGTGGTCTTTATACCTGGGTCCTGTCATCTGGGTAACACAAAAACACAACTGTTGTCTTCCTTGTGGTTGTTTCCACTGTGTTTCCCAACATCTTATTTTCCCGCGTGTACTTTCCCGCGTCATGCTCCACCATAAATAGCTTCGGCCTTGAGGTTAGTTTCTTCTGTAAACAGGATGTTCTGGTTTGACGTTATGCAGGTTTTTTGTCAATTTTTTTCAGGCTACTACCGTGCACATAGCACCACTGGCTCGACTCAAAGTACCGAATCCCGTTGTTTCACTTTTGTTTCATGCTATCAAGGAAGATGTTGAGGCAATAATGTATTTTGAGCTTTAATTTTGTAGAGTAAAACTTTAAAGCATAGGTTGGCAAACTATCGTCTGTGAGCCACATTTGGCCCACTGCCTGTTTTTCAAATGAACTCTTATTGGATCACAGCATGTCATTAGTTTATGTGTTGTCTGTGGCTTCTTTTGCACTATAGTGGCACAACTGAATAGTTATGGAAGAGACTGTAACATGCAAAGGCTAAAATATTTGCTGTCTGCCCTTTACAGAAAGTTAGCCAACCCTGCCATAGAGTAATCTATACAAGAAGTTATTTGTTAATGCAACAAATATATATTGTGTACCAGCAGCAACGAGGTCTTGGCCTCAAGAGCATTCTAGCAGTGGGCAATGAATAAATGAGTAAAGGAAGAAATGAATGCATGAAATAATTCCATACAGGGCTGAGTGCTGGGGAAAATGGGTTCAGGAGATAGTAATGGGGGTGCTGGTGGGTGGTCTGGGGGGCGTCTGTGAGGAGACAATGTGGCCATGGAGAGAGTGAGGATGCTGCTTCAGAAACTGGTATGTCCAGGGGAGGCAGGAATCCTGTACTCTGGGTGTTGGGCCATGGGTGCAGGTGAACTGGTCAGATCATGAGGACCCAAGAACCAAGCATCAGAATCCCATGCTGGGGGGGTCTGGGATTTGGGGTTAGGAGTCAGATGGAAAAAGAATCAGTGAACCTGAAGACACACCAGTAGAAATTATCTTGTCTCAAGAAGAGGAGAAAGAATCTAGAAAAATGAAAAGACATATGAGACAGTACTGAACTGTCTAACATACTAGTAGTTTGAACCTTGGAAAGAGAAGAGAGCGATACTGAACCATAAATAAGTTTCAAAAAAATAATGGCCCAAGGCACCAAATATGATTTAAAAAATAACAACTTACAGACCCAAGAATCTCAGAACCTTTAGGAGGATCAACACAAAGAAAACCATATCCAAGCATCAAATAGTAAGAGTAATGAAAATCAAAAAATTATTGAAGACAGTGGAAAAAAAAGACACTTCTCATACAAGGTATAAGGTTCTTGCAAGGATGAGAAAATCCCTCACTTCTCAGCAAAAACAGTGGAGGCCAGAAGACAATGGAACAACTTCTTTAAAATGCTCAAAAAAAATTTGCCAACCCAGAATTCTATACCTATGAAAAAAATCCTTCAAAACATGTTGAGGTAAAAACCTGTTCAGAAGAGCAAAAGCTGGGAGAAATCCTCCCCTGCAGATGTGCACTGCAGGTGACGTGCACGGATGTCCTTTAGGTTGACTAGGACGAGGCCAGGTGGGCCCTGACCTGCAGGAAGGAGTAGGAGGAACAGGGGAAGGTAAAGGAGCAGATAAATATCAAAGACGCATCCTTGTTCTTCTGTAATCGACTCGTAAGACAACCAACTTTTAAAATGGATTACTTGGTGACTAGCTCACAATCACTGTGGCTGCCCCAATTCTCTTGGTTTTTAAGTGTGATTCTGAACTATAGCAGTGAAAGGAGTTGCCTGTGAACTTGTGGCCTCGCCCGGCTTGTCCCTAGGCCTTAAGGTGACTCCCACATGGCCACAGATCGGCTCTGGGTCCATAGACTTCTAAGTTCTGTCCACAGCTCTGAGACCCCACTTGGTCTTCAGCCTTGGAGGGGATTTCATTAATGTGGTGTCTGACTTGTCTGAAGGCTTCTTGGCAGGAATCACCCATATCCACCACCAGCAGGCACAGAAGGACCCACACAGGAGCAGAGGGTGCCCCTGGGAGCTGCCTGGGATGGACAGAGTAGCTCTGCCCTGAGAGATGGCTCATCCCCCACCGTGTGACACCACCGTAGAATAAAGCGCTGTGGCCAATCCATCAAGAGAACAGAGCTGGAGTGTGAGGAGGAGCGTGTCATCCACACTCCTGCCCGCTGCTTCCCAAGTTCAGGGGCATCCTGGAATTTCACACCAGCTCCTCACTTTCCCCCAAGCTGCCTCTGCAGGGGTGAGACTGATCAGACCCACAGCGAGGGAGAGGAACCAGATATGAATAGCTCATGCCCGACTCCGTGATGGGTCCTCCTGGGCTCCGTCTGCAGAGGAGGTGTCCTGTGGCCATTAGTGCTACTCGTGGGAAGTGGGCACTTCTGAGGTGTGGTGTCAGGAAGCCCACTGTGGTCACACGCCTGAGCCATGCTCTGCAGACGCCAACGTGGCTGATGTTTTCGTCCATCTTCTCTGTCCGAGCTGGTTCAGGACTTCAGGATGAGTCACTTATTGAACCTTCAAGCCCTAGTATAATTTGGCACAGTGGTAACGACCATGGATCCCAGAGTGAAACTAAGCAGTCCAGATCCCTGCACCTCTGCAGTGGTGCAGACACGCACCCATTGTGCAAACCCTCTATGACTTACAAATTGCACATCTGTAAAATGGGGTATCGGCCACCCCGAATGCTGGCAAAGATGAATGAGATAATCACAGCCTGGCACAGTGCTAGACCTCTGTGCATTACTGTTACCTCAATAATCATCATTATTATTCCACAATATAGAGCCCAGTAGTTTGGCTCTCGTTACTTGGGAAGACCCTGATGATGACTGAGCTTCTCAGTCAAAACGGGGCCCCTGGTGTAGTGAGTGTGACTGTGCTTGTGTGAGCTCCAGATGGCATTTACAACGGGGGGACCTTGAACATCCATGAGGTGGGCCCCTGGCCTCACTGACAGCCCTTCACCAGCTACCCCTGCTCTGTTTCCAGGAAACACACGGTCTGCTGAATGATAGGGCACCCCTAGCTGAAAGAGTTTCCTGAACTGAGTAACCTCAACAGAAAAACACAGAAAGATCAACCAGACAGGGCAGAGGAGGAAAAACCACCCACGAGGAAGATGCCAGGGGGCTTGTTGCCAGGATGCCGGTAGCCTGGGTATAAAGGCCACCTAAGGAAGCAGGCTCCAGACCAGCCCTGTCCTCTGCGCCCCCCACCTGTCCACACTCCATCATGTGCCACACCAGCCACTCTTCGGGCTGCCCAATGGCCTGCCCTGGCTCCCCGTGCTGTGTCCCCAGCACCTGCTACCCACCCGAGGGCTATGGGACCTCCTGCTGCTGCTCAGCCCCCTGTGTGGCTCTGCTGTGCCGGCCCCTGTGTGGGGTATCCACCTGCTGCCAGCCAGCCTGCTGTGTGCCCAGCCCCTGCCAGGTGGCCTGCTGTGTGCCTGTGAGCTGCAAGCCTGTTTTGTGTGTGGCTTCCTTCTGCCCAACCTCTGGGTGCTGCCAGCCCTTCTGCCCCACCCTGGTCTATAGACCTGTCACCTGGAGCACCCCCACTGGCTGCTGAGCAGGTGGCCTCCTATGACCCTCGTAGGTGCGAGGTCAGAAGCCAGCAGGCTCTCTGAACTCCTGCCAGGCAGTCCCCACATCCTCCCACAGCAAACTGTCGTCACCTGACTAGACCGCCTGCCTCCTTTGCGGCACCGTCACTAGATCCCAGCCGGTGAGGCCATGCGCCTTTCTACACAGTTTCTCCTGGGTTCACAGCCTGGGCCATCCACAGGGCCCTCCGCACTGTCTGATGTTAGGTCTCTTGCAAATATCATAAATACCAGATGCTGAGTGCTCACCTGAGTCTGTGTGATGCCTTCTCCTCAGTGTCTTTCCCACACTCCTTCCTCAGGAGGTACCTTCCCCAGGATTCTGGAAAGCTCCTTCCCTGCAGAGAAGGGGCAGGTACCAGATGAATGTTAGGCCTGGTGAGCGGCCTCTCAACAGCACCCTCTCGGGCTAGTGGGCCGTGCTCCTGAGCTTGGCCTGATGGGAACCCCCAACCCCAGTCACATCAGGCTTCCTTCGTCCCACTTTGTTCCTTAAATGTATGAGGTCAGTTCTTACTCTCTTCTGGGTGAGATTGAGGACAAATCACTAATTTTGTAGTTTGATCCATTTTAGGTAAAACGGGCCATCTGCTTATTAGCTGGTATGTGCAACCCACTCTTGTCAAGAAATTAAAACCTTAAACTAAATTTAAATCTATAGCTACTCCTTCATCCAACTGGATGGGAAAGAGGTTTGTGGTGTTGATAAAAAAAGCTTTTAAGGAATTAAAGTGAGCTTTACTCAGAAGTTTTACCGAGGACTATAGAAGAGTGAGGTTTCTAGCCGGGGGCAGCTCTGTCAGAGATTCCGGCTCCGTGTTTCAGCTCACACCAGCCCGGGGGCAGCCCTGTCAGAGGCTCCGCCCCGGGTTTCAGCTCACAGTTCATATGCAGGTGGCGGGAGGTCAGCACGTGCAGATCACATGAAACTGGCTCAGAAGCTGCATCAAAGCAGAATCACATCCGGGTTTGGGGGCAGGAGCACATCTGGTTATGGACCGCAGAGGCATCATCACTCGCCCTATAAGACGTTATCTTGTTCAGGAAAAGGCAAGGACTAGCATCATTTATCTTTCTTTTTTTTTGAGATGGAGTCTCGCTCTGTCACCAGGCTGGAGTGCAGCGGCGTGATCTCAGCTCACTGCAAGCTCCACCTCCCAAGTTCACGCCATTCTTCTGCCTCAGCCTCCCGAGTATCTGGGACTACAGGTGCCCGCCGCCACGCTTGGTTAATTTTTTTTGTATTTTTAGTAGAGACGGGGTTTCACCGTGTTAGCCAGGATGGTTTTGATCTCCTGACCTTGTGATCCACCCGCCTCGGCCTCCCAAAGTGCTGGGATTACAGGTGTGAGCCACCACACCCCGCCAGAAGACTCTACATTTTAACCCTATATTTGCAGGTTGATGATTCTGAGTTCTGACTTTTCCTTGATATAATTTAACTATTTAAAAATGTGTACAAGAATGGGCCATGATATGTAGTCAACTGGAGTCCCAGAAAACCTGGCACGCCTTAATGTTTGAGAATCCCAGTTTTGGCCATTTCAGTGTTCAATCTCCTTTAGCTAACCCCTTACTTCTAGAAAGATACTTGCAAGTATAGACTCTGTATGGGTTACACATGAAGCCATTCCTACCTAGTATCTTTCAACGAGGAGAATTCCCCCTTCGTAAGACATAAAAAGTCTCACAGAAGAATGTACCCCTTCAGCAAGAAGTAAAATGAACTAACTGAATACAACTCAGGACTCTCAACCAAGTGGGAGGTCAGAGACTCAGGAGAGAGTCACTCAGTCACCTGTAACCATGGAGGAGCCGTGGGGGCTCAAGTGGCCTGTGCTGGTACCGGGGTGCTGGGTCCCCGCAGTGTTCCAGACGTCCCTGAGCAGTCCACTCTGAGTCCTATCTGGGTCACTGTGATTTTCATCTAAGGAAAAAAATTAAACTTTTAGAGAATGGGGCCCGGTGCGGTGGCTCACGCCTGTCATCCCAGCACTCTGGGAGGCCGAGGCGGGCGGATCACGAGGTCAGGAGATCGAGACCATCCTGGCTAACACAGTGAAACCCCGTCTCTACTAAAAATACAAAAAATTAGCCGGGAGAGGTGGCAGGCACCTGTACTCCCAGCTATTCGGGAGGCTGAGGCAGGAGAATTGTGTGAACGCGGGAGGCGGACCTTGCAGTGAGCCGAGATCGCGCCACTGCACTCCAGCCTGGGCGACACAGTGAGACTCCGTTTCAAAAAAAAAAAAAAAAAAAAAAGAAAGTTTTATTCAGAAGTCTTACTGAGGCCTAAACTGCTCCTGGGCTATATAGGCCTCGGTCTATAGTCCTCAGTAAGACTTCTGAAGCAAACTAACTTTCATTTTTTAAAAGCTTGATTTTTTTCCCCTTAGTCCATAGAGGTGAACTTCTGTGGCCAGCTGAGTATGGTCGCCAATGATGTCCACATCCTGGTTCTCAGAACCTATGAGTGTCACCTTTTGTGGCAGCAGGGACTTCACACGTGTGGCTAATTAAGGGAACTTAATATGTGTGGACCATAAGGTGTGGCTAATGGGAGAGTACCCTGGATTATCCAGGTGGGCCCAGTGTCTCCACAGGGTCCTTATCAGAAGGAGGGAGGAGGACATTTGGCCAGAGGAGAAGGTCATGGCAGGTGTGAGTGAGATGCCTGCTGCTAGCCCTGAACCAAGGGCTCGAGCCATTTCCAGAAGCTGAAAGAGATGAGGAAAGATTCTCTCCTGCAGCCTCCCGAAGGAACCCGCCCTGCCCATGCCTTGATTTTAGCCCTGTGAGACCCACAGCAGACTTCGGACCTCCACTGCTATGAGATGATCCATTCGTGTTGTTCGAAGCTACTAAGTTTGTGGCCACAGGACACACATCCAACTTCTCTGTCTCACAGCCTGGTGTTTCTACACACTGCGTGGTCTTGCCAGCCACAGCCGTGAGCTGTCTGGGGCTGTGTGGGGGAGGCAAGGAGAAGAAAAGGGGAGGAGAGACAAGTCTCCTCTCTGGAGACCTGTGGTGACTGGGCTGTCACTCTCTCTGCTTGCCAGGGCTTCGGCCTCACTCTCCCGCTCGTGGCCTGTCCATTGTGGGAGCTTTTTCCCTGTGGCTCCCCCAGCCTGGAAGAGGCTCTACTCTAGCTGGTGCCAACAGCTTCCTTCTGCCAAGACCTGTCCTCTCCCCAGGTTCTACTGCAGAGCCTGAGTCCACCCCTGGTGCCCCCTCCCTGGTGGGGCGCCACCTGGACCTGGGGGACCATCAGGGAGTGTCACCCTGTCCTCCCCCAGAGCATCTGCAGATTCCGGCCTCAGACTTCTTGGGTGTGTCAGAGCCAAGCCATGGTTGTCCCCTCTTCAGAGGACTCCGTCCACCTCTGGGGATCTCTGTGGCCTGTCCCTTGGCCTGTAGGAGGTCACAGGCCCCAGGCACTTCCCTCAGAACTCCTTTCCCAGCCCCCAGCCCCATTTCCCTGGACTCTCCACCCTCACTGGGGGCTGGAGCTGGAGGGCGTGTTGACATCCGGGGGCTGCTGTGACAGAGTCCCACGCCAGCTATGTGACATGGCAGAAGCTCACATCTCACGGTTCTGGAGGACTGCAGTCCGAGGTGAAGGCGTCAGTGGGGCTGGTTCCTTCCATGGTGGTGAAGGAGAGTCTGTCCCCATCTGGGGGATGACTCTGTCCTGTTTTCTGGGCCTGTTGCCTTCTTTGGTGTCCTTGGCCTGCAGGGGCATTGCCCAATCTCTGCCTCCGTCATCACGTGGCCCCAATCTCTGCCCCCGTCGTCACGTGGCCCCAGTCTCTGCCGCCGTCGTCACATGGCGTTCTCCAGGTGCCCGTTCGTGTGCAAATTTTGCCTTTTTATAAAAACAGAAGTGGTGTTGGCTCAGGGTCCCCCACTAATGACTTCACTTCAACTTGACTACATCTGCAAAGGTCCTGTTTCCACGTAAGGTCATGTTTACAGTATGAGGGATCAGCATCCAACATATACCTTTTCTTTCTTTTTTTTTTTTGGAGAGGGTCTTGCCTGGTCACCCAGGCTGGAGTGCAGTGGCGCGATCACGGCTCACTGCAGCCTTGACCTCCCAGGCTCAAGCCGTCTTCCCACCAAAGTAGCTGGGACTAGAGGTGCACACCACCATGTTCAGCTAAATTGTATTGTATTTTCTGTGGAGATGGGGTCTCACTGTGTTGCCTGGGCTGCTCTCGAACTCCTGGGCTCGAGTGGTCCTCCCTCCTCGGCCTCCCACGGTGCTGAGATTACAGGCATGCGCCACGTCTGGACCAACATGTCTTTTTTTAAGGGGACACTGTTCAGCCCAGGAAAGAGGTCGGTGCAAAGCCATGAGAGCAGCCTGGGTTCCTCTGTGCGTCAGTGGGCTGTGGCGTCTTTCATCGTGGTTCCTTGGGAAGGAAGAGTCCACTGAGAATCCGCGTGGCTGGGCCTCTTCAGGACACAGCCCAAGCCCACTGCACACACAGGAAGGCCCGAAGCTGGGCCTGAGGGTGGCCTGGCTCCCATCCAGGCATTGAAGCTATTGCAGAAGGAGGGAGGCCTGTATGGGGGATGCCTGCACTAATTCCAAGAATGGGAAGCTTGGCCCCCAAAACCGAGGGCTGCCCCGACAGAGCCAGCTTGGTCCCTGTGGCATGCGTGTGGGCCACACGGGAGAAGGGGTGTGGGCACGTCCTGGGTATGAGTGGGATTTGCCTGGAGGGGGTGCTGTCCTCAGTAGAAGGGGGCTGTTGGCACACGTGGGTAGCGGGGGAGCCGTTTGGGAACCAAGAAATCAGCTAAGAGGAGCACCAGCCAGTGTACCCCTCCTGCTGAGAGGCCCATATCTAGAAACTTCCGTTACCAGGATGCCCTGTATTGATGAGCATGTGAGGTGCAGGGGGACTCCTTAGAAGGCCTCCTCCACAGACCGCTGCTCATCCCTCCTCCCAGGCCAGCAGCCTCGCCTGGGGCTGTGCTCTCACCCTTACAACTGGGCGAGGGTGTCTGCAGGCTGGAGGGTCTCTGATCACACCCTGACGAGCATGCACCAACCATGTCCTCGCCTTACAGACACCCTCCCCCGGTCCCCAGGAGCCGTCCGGCTCTGTCCAGCAGGCGGTGGAGGGAGCTTTGCGGTTTCCTGTGGTTTCACGGGATGCCTTTGCAGGCAGCAGCTGCCCCTGACTCAGTGGGTCCCGCATCTCCCTCACAGACAGGAGGGGCACCCCGGGACCTGGGAGGGGCAGAGCACTCGGAGCTGTCGCTGTGCTGTGAGCACCTTCACGCACGTTCACAAGGGAGGGGACCCCGCCACTGCAGCCCTAGTTTCTCCTCTGCGTCTGGCACGGCAGCTTGACCGCGTGGGCTTGGACAGTTGCATGGACACACGGCCACCAGCAGACCTGCATGTCAGCTGCCACAGAGAGCACAGGGGCCCGGGTGTCACAAGCTGTGCTCGGCCATGGCTGTCCCTGCCTTTCCCCTCGGGAGCCATCGGGAGGCTGAAAGTCTCTGGTGCCCTGGAGGCTGCGGCCCTGGGTGCGTCTGCCCGCTGGCTGCACAGCGGCTTGGCCTCAGCAATGTTGGTGCGCCCTGTGCCGACTCCCCTGTGCCTTAGGCTCCCCTGTTCCTTTGGTTAGTGGTGAGGTGGAAACATCTCCCCCTCTTTTTTTAACTGTTTGTGCTATGAAAGGTCCATGAAGGCCTTTGTCCACTTATTTATGGGGATGGCCGTATTTTTCTTAATATTTGAATAAGCAAGTAACGGACACGGGTTGAATAAACTCTGGAAGACTGAGAGATTTATGAGTCCACGTGGGTTTAAATTCAGCTACTTTCTGGTTCAAGGTCCTCTTGGGGTTTTTGTTCTGTTGCTTCTTCCCTGGGCCCTCCCAGCCTCCTGAGGAGGTGCTGACCTGACTGGTCTCACTAGTGCCCTCTTCACTCTCCAGTGCTAGTGGTCCACTGAGACTACAGCCTCATCCTCTCCCACTGTCCTAAGGGTTCATCGATAAGGTGTCTTTTTGCTCTGTGTCTCCTCACCCAGGCCTTAAACCCTGAGTAGGATGAGTGACGTCTGAGTAACTCCAGGACCCCTCTTGGGGCCCATGAAATTGCTAGTGCTTCAGAGCACACAGAGTGGCCCTCAAACTCTCGGGGCAGCCCTCTGTGTGGGCACCTTTTCCACGGCCCACACACCACGAGGCCAGCACGGTGCCTGGGGCTCTCAGGTCCCAACTGAACGGGATTTCTGCTTCTTCCCGACTCAGCTTTAGCTTGGACTGGCAGGGGACAGGCATGGGCGGGTGGCCCAAAGCTCACCAGAGGCCGAGCCCACTCAGCTCTGCTCCCCTCCCTGGCTCAGCTTGGAGGCTCATCCCCTGTGGGCAGGGCTTTGGCTGCAGGAAGAGTGTGGAGCTGATCACATTTGCTTTCAAAGCCTGCTGTCTTCCAAGTGTTTGATCTCGGAATGAGAGACACTGTCCTGTCTGCCTTTAACAAGACAGTGGGTCCCACACCCCAAATTTGGAGTAGGCAGAGGGGCTCAGGGGAAGAGCAGAAAGTGCACACCAGCCCGTATTTCCTGACTCAAGAATTTATTGATTAGAGCAGTTCTTCTTTGTCACATTGGGTATAAGCAACACATTTGGAGAAGGGGGCTCCAGAAAGCCACAGTCCACCTGCTGAGGGATTTGTGGGTTGTCTCTTCCCAGACAGTGGGGAGGAAAGTGTGACGCGCTCAAAATCCCCTTCAGGCAGCAGCTCTGTGGCTACTGATGGAGCTGGTGGATTCTGAGGACTCCAGGGGCTCCTGAGACTGGAGAATCCTGCTTGGCAGCAAAGACACAGTCAGCAGGAGACAAGGATTGAGCACTCAGCAGCTGGACTTCTTGCCTGAGCAGAGGCTGTAGCAGGCCAGGCGGGAGCTTGCGGGGCGGCAGAGGAGGGACACGCAGGAGGCCGGGCGGCAGCAGCTGGACTGGCAGGAGGAGGTGGGGGCACAGCAGGAGGAGACGGGCACACAGCAGGTGGACCTGCACACGGGGTGGCAGAGGAGGGACACAGAGGAGGAGGGTCTGCAGCAGGAGGTGGTGCAGCAAGCTGGCTGGCAGCTAGGCTGCTGGCAGCGTGAAGAGGAAGCCCTAGAGCAGACAGGCACACAGCAGATGGGCTTGCAGTAGACAGTCTTGCAGCAGACAGGCACGCAGCAGGCCTGCTGGTAGGAGGAGGAGGTGCAGCAAGCTGGCTGGCAGCTAGACTGCTGGCAGCATGAAGAGGAATCCTCAGAGCAGGTGGACACACAGCACACAGGCTTGCAGCAGACGGGCACACAGCAGGCCGGCTGGCAGGAGGAAGAGGCACAGCAAGCTGGCTGGCAGCTAGACTGCCGGCAGCACGAAGAAGCAGCCCCACAGCAGACAGGCACACAGCACACAGGCTTGCAGCAGACAGTCTTGCAGCAGACAGGCACACAGCAGGCCTGCTGGCAGGGGGAGGAGGTGCAGCAAGCCGGCTGGCAGCTAGACTGCTGGCAGCATGACGGCGTGCAGGAGCTGGTGCAGCCTGATTGGCAGGCGCTGGGCTCACAGGCCGCCTGGCAGCAGGGGCTGGACACACAGCTCACTGGGGTGCAGACCAGGCTCAGGGAGGGGGCCGGGGCGCAGCAGCTGGGGGCGCTGCAGGGGGGCTCACAGCAGCTCTCTGGGCAGTCGTCCACCTGCCAGGAGTCGGAGTAAGCGCTGGAGCAGACAGACATGGTGGACGCGGCCATGCTGGGGTGGGGAGGAGGTGAGCTGGGGGAGGTGTAAGTGAGTGTGTGAGTGTGTGTGTGAGTGAGTGAGTGAGGTGCTCAGGGCTGTGGGGCTTTTAAATCCCTCCCTGGCATGTGTTGTCCCAACAGGAGGCTCCACAAGCTTTTCTTCCTTGTTGGTGTTTACAGCTGGTGGCTGGAGATGCATCATTCATGCTGGTTTATCTCTTTGTTTTTCCCTTATTAAACTGGTATGTATGTCGCAGGGCTCTGTTTCTTCATCAGTTTTTATTTTGGCCACAGAAATGTGGTGGAAAATATTTCCTTTTTTTTTTTTTTTTTTTTTTTTTTTTTTGAGAGGGAGTCTTGCTCTGTCACCCAGGCTGGAGTGCAGTGGCGCGATCTCAGCTCACTGCAACCTCCGCCCCCTGGGTTCAAGCGATTCTCCCACCTCAGCCTCCCGAGTAGCTGGGATTACAGGCACGCTGTAATTTTTGTATTTTTAGTAGAGACGGGGTTTCACCATCTTGGCCAGGCTGGTCTTGAACTCCTGACCTCATGATCTACCCGCCTCAGCCTCCCAAAGTGCTGGGATTACAGGCGTGAGCCACCGCGTCCGGCCGGAAAATATTTCAAGCAAGCTTTTGTTGAGTTGAGGTTTTAGAGATGAACGTTTCTCCAAAGGAAGCAATTCTGTTTCCACCTATCCTGTTTCTGGACTGATTAGATATATTTTATTACTTTTAGCATCTTAAAACATAAACATGGAGAAAAATGTACACTTCATATGAAATAAAAACGGCACAGACGATAAGATAAGAGGAAGCTGGCTGAGCGTGGTGACTCATGCCTCTAATCCCAGTACTTTGGGGGGCTGAGGTGGGTGGATCACGAGGTCAGGAGTTTGAGACCAGCCTGGCCAGCATGGTGAAACCCGGTCTCTACTAAAAATACAAAAAATTAGCCAGGCATGGTGGCATGTGCCTGTAGTCCCAGCTACTTAGGCTGAGGCAGGAGAATTCTTGAACCCAGGAGGTGGAGGTTGCAGTGAGCTGAGATTGCACCATTGCACCCCAGCCTAGGTGACAGAGCAAGACTCTGTCTCAAAAAAAAAAAAAAAAGCTAAGTGGCCCTCCCTTCGATCCCTCACACCTTGTAAGGAGAATGCTCAGAGATTCAGTAGCTGGTGGATCCAAGCTTTATTTTTGTCTCTTCAGCTCTTCCATGCCACCCTCAGAGGCTCTTTGTTTTATTTGAAGCTGCACTCTGGATTATTTCAATTTTCATTTTGCCTTGGTGAAAGATCAAGTACTTTTTCATATATGGTGATTTTAGGACATACATTTTAAGATTCCTTGCTTGTCTGAAAATATGTCAACTTTATCCTCACATTTATAATGATAGTTTAGCTGGGTATAAAATTCTGGTTTTAAATTACTTTTCCTCAAAATGATGAACACATGTCACCATTTTTTTGTGATGTCCAGTGTTGCCGATGACAGTCTGATACTGGTCATTTGTCATTTTTTAGTTTCTCTCTTTCCTTAACTCTCTGGGAGCATTTGGGTTTCTTTTTATTGTTCTAAAGTGTCACGCTTTTGTTTCTAGGCTAATGCATTATTTTACTTTCAGTGGTTAGAACTTATTGAGCCTTTCAATATAAAGACTTATCTCCGAAGTGTTTTTCCATTTTTAATAATAATTTCATCTTTCCTGGTCTCTCTTTTTATGACTTTTTATTTCATCTTGTGATGAATGAAATATGTTATCCATTCACTCTGATGATGTTACTTTGAGTTTTTAAATGTTTTTTTCTTGTTTCCTTGGACATCAGATAGTCTGCTCATTGGTGGCAGTTCATTCAGTTTTCTGAATAAAAGACTATTTTATTCCAGTGCATTAGGGTCCTGCTCCAATTTACTCCCTAACCTGTTTCTGTCTGCTTCTCTTTTCTACAAACATATGAAGGACCCTGCTGAGCCTCCCGTTTTTGTTAGATAATTTTGATTTCATTTTTTATAACTCTTTAAATATCCTTTCAGTGATTATTAGTACAGGTGTGTGAGATCTGTGTGCTTAATCCGCTTTCTGGGACTGAAGGACTTGGTGATGCTTTCAGGAGATGATAGGAAAGCCAGGAAGTCTAGGGTGACATCGTATTAGTGGATGTACTACAGACACACACAGTGCACGTACAGTCTTTTTACGTCAGCCACAACATGAGGTGCAACTGTAGAGCCCTGGACTCACTGGAGACATGACTTTTTGGATCATGGAACTTTCCACTGGGGGCCAGCAGGGCAGCTTCTGTGGACAATCAAATGATCAAACCATTTCTTAAATCAAGCAGACACTCTGGGGATCTGAGTGAGTTGAATGGCAGGGATTAAATGGCCCTGGCTGGGAGAGGGAGGTGCCGGGAGGGGATGTGAGTCTGGAGGGCAGGGTGGCCCACGGCCAGGTCTTCTGCAAGTGACACACATTTGGATTCTTCTTTTCCAAAACGTAGTCTTTTGTTTTATTTGACTCCCTTTCGTCGTGGCTGGCTGCCCAGCACAATGCTGGAGACGCGATGACAGCAGCCCTCTGGTCTTGTTTCCAAAGTTAACAGAAATGCTTCCCGCAACTCCGCACTAAGCCGATGTTTGCTGCTTTGTCGCACAGCCTTGGTCTCGTGCATGCAGTGTTTTCCTACTTTAGTTTATCATGAATTTTGCCTCAGGCTTTTAAGGAAGGAGTGAGTTTGTTTGTGTATGTGTGTGTGTATGTGTGTGAATGTGTGTGTATTAATCTACTGAGAGTTCCAGTGGCTTTTCTGCTTCTATTTTATGAGTATAGTTAATGATACCCTTTGTAACTTGAGTGATCTAAGATATACATTACTTGATAATAGCTCATTATCCCTTTTTCCCCAGCTTTATTGAGATATAATTGACAAACAAGAATTATATAAATTCAAGGTATACAACATGACGTCTTGATACATGTACACATTGTGTGATGATTACCACGGTCAAGCTAATTAATATGTCCATCACCCCATGTAGTTACCTTTATTTTGTGATGAGACATTTAAGATGGACTCTTAGCAGATTTCGGTGTTACTATGTTGCGTTCTGTGTTACAGTCAACTGTCCTCATGCTGCACATGAGGTTTCCAGAACTGACTCATCCTGCACAGCTGAAGCTGTATCCTGTCATCAACATGTCCCCACTCCCTGCACCCCCTGGCCCTCGAATCCCCATTCTACTCTCTGCTTTGGTGAACTTGGCTTTTTTAGATTCCACAAATAAGTGAGGTCTGCAGTATTTGTCTTTCTGTGCCTGGGTCACTTCACCTAGCATAGTGTGTGCAGGTTCATCCATGTTGTCACAGATGACAGGATCTCCTTCCTTTCTATGGCTGAATCGTATTCCATCATGCATATGCACCGCATTTTCTTTATCCACTCATCTGTTGATGATCACTTATGTTGCTTCCGTATCTTTGCTGTTGTGAATAGTGCTGCAGTTAGCATGGCAGTGCAGGTATCTCTGAGCTCTGGCTTTAATTTGTCTTGTTTAAATACACAGAAGTGGGATTGCTCATCACATGGTAGTTCCATTTTTAATTTTTAAGTTTTTAATTTTTTTTTTTTGAGATAGAGTCTCGCTCTGTTGCCCAGGCTGGAGTGCAGTGGCACAATCTCGGCTCACTGCAAGCTCTGCCTCCCAGGTTCACGCCATTCTCCTGCCTCAGCCTCCCAGGTAGCTGGGACTACAGGCGCCTGCCACCACACCTGGCCAATTTTTGTATTTTTAGTAGAGACGGGGTTTCACCGTGTTAGCCAGGATGGTCTCGATCTCCTGACCTCGTGATCTGCCTGCCTCGGCCTCTCAAAGTGCTGGGATTACAGGCATGAGCCACTGCGCCCGGCCCCATTTTTAATTTTTTGAGGAACTTCCGTACTATTTCCCATAATGGCTATACATAGTGGCTTAGTTTTCTGTTATTGTAGGTTCATACAATCTCTTACATTATTTTTTTAAATGATGTTGGTCTACAGTCCTATCTCTCTCGCTGTTATTCCTGGTTTTGGCATCAGGATGTCACCAGTCTTACTAGAGGAATCCAGAGGACCTCTGGCTTCTTCTGATCTCTGGAATATTTCAAGTATCACAGAAAAGTCTTTGTATTGAAGGCTGATGGTATACATCTTTGAAACATCTGAGTCTGCCTTCTGAAGAATGAGCTTTTTCAATACCATTTCCATATTTTCCTGGATATCATTGTATTAAAATTTTTGTCTTGTTACTCAGGGTAGGTAATTTATATTTTTTAGGACACAGTACATTTAATTTATATTTCCAAATTTTAGGATAAATATACCCATACTATTTTCTTATACTGAAACAGGAAAATCTCTGAATCTGTGAGCATACTTCTTTTTCCATCTTTCATGTCTGCTTATTTTTATTAGACTTTATTTTTATTTTCTTTAGATTTTCCTTGATGGGTGTCTGTGGATTTTTGTGGACGTTTGAAAAGAGGGGGTCGTGTTTCTTCTTGTTGGAAATTGCTGAGTAAAAATTTCAGAAAGCATTGTGGGTGGTAAATTTTCCGGATCCCTGTTGTTTAAGAACAGCCTTCCCGCTGAAGCCTGCCACAGCAGAGTCTAGGTGCGGAATTTCTTCCCTCCACCTTGGTAGAGGCTGGGCCACCAATGCATCTCATATTTGCATAACTTTGATCTTCTTGTGAAGTCTTTCCTCTGTCTAGAACCTGGCACTATTGTCTCTTTCTTTTACTTCATTCATTTCACCAGACCCCTCCCTCGTCACTGTCATCAGCTGTGTTCATCCCCTCGATCCCATCTTCCTTTAGTTCAAAAAACTTTTATTCTCATATGGGTCTGATGATTTTCTTCCATTCTTGGATTTTCTCCCCACTGCGATCCCGGTTAGGATCACAGACCCTGGGTCTCCTGGGCTCTTCCCACTCAGATCTCAGGCTCTTCTTGGCTTTATCTCTGTCCTTCTGCATTGGGTTTGGGTCAATCCTTGCCTGAACTGGGGTCACTGTATCAGCAATTCTGCTTTCAGGGTCTATTATGCAGACCATCATTGAGTTTCATCTGTGTTGAGAGTGTCATGCTTTCAGTCTCCTGGAACTTGGGGTGTTTTCCTTCCTCCTCTTCCTCCTCCTTTTTGGTAGCACCCTGTTCTTGTTTCATGGAGTGACAGCCTCTTTGTTTCCTCACATCTGCATCATCGCTTGTTCAGACTTTGCTTCTCTGTCATGCTGTGATTTCCTCACATGTCTGAGGACCCTTAGTTGTCATTCACATTTTTAAGTGAGGGTCTAGATTGTTTGGCATTCATTGCTGAAAGGTTTTCTGCACATAGATACACATATTCTGCATCCAGAGCTGATGCTGGGGCTCTGATGAGGGGGGCCTTGTTCATCGCTGATTGGACATGGGGGCTCCAGTTCATCTTGGCATCCAGAGCTTCCTGGGGCGTGGCCTCTTCCTCTCCAGATTGGGACCTAGGCTGGGAGTCTCCTGGGCCAACCCCACCCTTCCTGGTTCTCCCGCTGGTTGCAGGCATGGAATGGCTCTTCTTCAGAACTCGACCCATCAGTTAAAGACCACTGAGTGCCCACAGTCATCCTCATGTATGGTCCCTTTGCTAGGGTCTCCGGGAAAAGTCATTTGTCTTCAGAGTCCTTCTGCCTTTCTTTCTGTTGGATTTAAAGTCAATAGAACCTGATCTTTTTGTCTTGCCTTTCCCAGAAAATCCTTACTGACCTGGTCTGTGGATGGCATGCCTCCATTTTCTATCACTGCTCTGGCGCCATTCATTTTTATCTGGATGAAGGGGAGGTGGAGGCATTGGCCAGTGGCCATCCCAAATGGAGGGCTGAGACTATTTGTTTTTAACACATTGACCAAGAGAAAATTCACAAGCCATGAAGTTCACCCACTGTAAGTGCACAATCCACTGGTTTTTAATATATTCCCAGTGTTTCTCAGCCATCACCAATATGTAATTTTACAACATTCCCACTCCAAAAACCACACCCATAAGCAGTCACTCCTCATGAGCCCCTCCACCAGCCTTGGTCACACACTCATCTACTTCCTTTCTCTGCGGATTTGCCTGTTCTGAGTCTTTCATACAAATAGAATCCCACCACATGTGGCCACTCGCTGAGCATCATGCTTTCAAGGCTCATGCATGTTGTAGCCTGTGTCAGTATTTGATCCCTTTTCATGGCTGAATAATATTCCCATGGGGATGGGCTGTGTTTTGCTTGTGTGGATAGGCTGTGTTTTGCTTGTCCATTCATCCTCTGATGGACATTTGGGCTCTTTCCACTTCTTGGCTACTGTCAGTGGTGCTGTGTACATGGGCACAGAAATCTGTGTGTGGACGTTTGTTTCATTCCTCCGGGGTAGATGCCTAGAACTGGACTGACAGGGTCACAGGGTCACACAGTGAGTGACATTTTGAGGAACTGTTTTCCAAGGTGCTTTCACTGGGGGTTGAAGCTCTGATGAGGCAGAAGACACATCGAATGAGGACCCAGAGTAGGAGTCAGAGCTGAGACCCCCCACCAGGAGGTATCCTCCCTGGGGACGGCCAGACAGGCTGGGTCCTGTCGGTGCCTTGGACAGGGAAGGTGGGGACAATGGCAAATGTGGAGGAGGTCAGAGAGCCAGCCCCGGGCCCTCCTCCTGGCTCTCTGTTCTGACCCTGTGGCCATCAGTGAGCACAGTGATGTGGGGCTCAGACATGCATGTGTGGGGAGCCCCTCCCGAGGATGGCCCCGGAGACCTAGGATGAAGGCTCGGCCCCTGCCAGCTGCCCCAAAAACCGGGGCAGGTTTTTGGACAAACATCTCTGTCCCTGGAGGCCCCCATTTGTCCTTTCATGGGGACTTGGCTTTGCTTCCAAGGAGGTGGACAAGGCTGTGTCAGTTTGGCCACCAGCCCTGGGGACGGCTGCTGCTGGTTGTCCTGGGTGATCTGCCTCGAGGGGAGTGAGCGAGGCGGCTGTGCTGACCACAGGGAGCTCTGTGGGGTGGGACTCCGGGAGGTCCTGGTGCTGGGGCTGGCGGCCTCTGTCATTGACACGCAAGGGTCATTTGCTGGAGCCGGACGTGCGCTCTCAAATGCGCACAGCGACCTGGCGGAAAGAGTGCAGCAGCTTGTGCCACTTCCCCGACGTGGCATCTGGGACGGAGGGTGGCAGGCAGAGCTGAGGGCTATTTGGGAGAGACCTGGGAGGCTGGGGGTGCGGGGACAGGGTCCTCGGGGTCAGAGTCCAGGACCACGGGACCAAAAGGGAGCCAGGACCCTGAATGTCTAGGTGAGGCCGCATGGGGCAGGGGGGCCCGCAGGCTTGGTTAGTGGGTGCCATGGTCCCTGCCCATCTGTGCTCTCGCCAGCGATGCCTGAGCAATGGGTATTCCAGAACCCCATGAATACTGGGCTGCTGGGCTCGAGTCCTGGGGGAGGGCGTGGTCCCAATGTCTTACTGTGGAGGAGATGAGGGCTGCAGGGATGAGCACTGTGGTCCATAGCTGGTCTCCCCAGGGGTAACAGGAGGGGTGAGGCTGCTGGGTGGAGCCAGGCCCCAGGTGGTCTACCCCAGGCCTGGGGGGCAGCCATGGAGCTGGGGAGGGTGAATGTGGCTCAGGGGCCCAGAGTGCTGCCAGGGTCCACTTTGTCCCGAAACTCCTGGCCTTGGTTCCAGAGGCAGCTTTCCTAAGATGGGCCGGGGGGCCACGTGCTGGGGTTGGGGGCCCACGGGGCTAAGAGGGAGACTGGCCTTCAGGGTTCACAGAGGCCAGCACCAGAAGGCATTGCTTCCTGCCTCATCCCATGCCCCTCGGGGGTCCACAGACAGGATGGAAGGTCGACAGAGACAGAGGGGTGGAGCCAGGCCTGCTGGGGGTCAGGACTCTCCCTGCAGTCAGGGGTGGCATCACTTCCCACCTCACCCTGTGCCCCCCCGGGGGTCCACAGACAGGACAGAGGTTGGTGTGAGACAGAGGCGGCTTTATTAGAACTAGAGGGGGTGCTGCCCAGGGTGGAACCAGGCCTGCTGGGGGTTAGTTCTGCAGAACTTGGGTCTGGGGGAGTAGCTGGGGTCCCACAGGCAGCCATCATCTGGGAAGGACTGGGGGAGCATCCTGGTCCCCAAGACAAAGAGCCTGCCCCACCTTCTGAGGGTGTCAAAGCCAGAGAGGGCAGAGCTTGCTGGGGCAGCTGGGAGGTCAGCCCCTGGTGGGAAGGGACTCCGGATCACATCCAGGGCTGTCAGCAGCTGGACTTCTGGCCAGAGCAGAGGCTGTAGCAGGCAGGGCGGGAGCACACGGGGCGGCAGAGGAGGGAAACACAGGAGGCCGTGCGGCAGCAGCTGGGCTGGCAGGAGGAGGCAGAGGCACCGCAGGAGGGGACGGGCACGCAGCAGGTGGACTTGCACACAGGGTGGCAGAGGAGGGACACGGAGGAGGAGGGTCTGCAGCAGGAGGCGGTGCAGCAAGCAGGCTGGCAGCTAGACTGCTGGCAGCATGAAGTGGAAGCCCCAGAGCACACAGGCACATAGCAGACGGACTTAGAGCAGACAGGCACACAGCAGGCCTGCTGGCATGGGGAGGAGGTGCAGCAAGTTGGCTGGCAGCTAGACTGCTGGCAGCATGAAGGGGAAGACTCGGAGCAGGTAGGCACGAAGCACACAGGCTTGTTACAGACGGGCACGCAGCAGACGGGCACACAGCAGACAGGCACACAGCAGGCCTGCTGGCAGGGGGAGGAGGTGCAGCAATCCGGCTGGCAGCTAGACTGCTGGTAGCATGGGGTTGTGCAGGAGCTGGTGTAGCCTGATTGGCAGGCGCTGGGCTCACAGGCCGTCTGGCAGCAGGGGCTGGACACACAGCTCACTGGGGTGCAGACCAGGGTCAAGCTGGGGGCTGGGGCACAGCAGCAGGGCTCGCAGCAGCTCTCTGGGCAGTCGACTACCCGCCAAGAGTCAGTGCAGGCGCTGGAGCAGATGGACATGGTGGAGGCGGCCATGCTGGAGTGGGGAGGCGGTGAGCTGGGGGAGGTGTGTGAGTGAGTGAGTGTGTGAGTGAGTGTGTGTGTGAGCCTGTCAGCTGCTGGGGCTTTTATATGCCCAGGGCCTGTGTTTTCCCAGCAGGAGACTCAGCAATGCCCTCCCCTTCCGTGTTGGTGTTTGGAGCCGGGAGGACCCTCATTATTTCTGCTTCCTTTGCCATGACTTGTCCTCACTCTGCTCCTAACACTTGGCTGGTCCTGGGCAGGACCGGCGCCCCTGGCTGAGCCTGTCTCCCGGGAACACCAGGAGGGAAGGTGTGACCTCTCTGGGGCTGACCTGGTGACTTCCACCTGGCAGGTCCCGTGACTGTGCCCAGCGTGGGCCCTCAGCCTGGGGGAGGCCCAGCCTCTGTCTGCAGGGACCTCACGGGGTGGGCTGGCGTGGCTGAGATTGGGAGAGCCAGGACGGAGGTGCCTGTGTTGGGAAAAGATGCTTGAAGACAGCGCTTCCTGGCGGGCTCTGGGATCTTCTGAGATCCTGATGTCTGCCAAGGGCAGGAGGACAGGGAGGACCTCCCCTCCTCTGAGGAGATGGAATGTTCTGGCAAGGCCTCTGGACAGTCAGCTCATTAGGAGGACAAGGTTTGGGGACTGGCCTTTGGGTCTGGACTGCCATCCCCTGGAGCCCTGGTCAGGTGTCCTGAGAGGGGCGGGTGCAGGTCAGGGTCTGAGGGTGGGGAGGGGCCTCTACCTTGGAGAGGCAGGTGTGGAGTGAGGGTTGCGTGGAGAGTGGAGGATACTTGGGGTCTGGATGAGAAAAGTGTCAGATGGGGCCACAGTCAGCCCCACTGCCCGGACGCCTGGTCTTACTCTATGTTTGCACTTTGGCTGAAGCCACATGCCAAGAAGTTGAAATGTGATGTGAATTTCTAGTATCTGTAGGTGACATCATTGTCCACCTAGGATCAGAGTGACTGTCCCAGGCCACGCTCACTGAAGGGCTGGATGAGAGACAAAGTCACTGCACCCAGCACCCCCTACCTGTACCCCTGCCATGACAGTGTGGAAATACAATGGGAAAGGAAGCCCGTCAGCCAGCAGACCCAAGTATAAAATGCCCAGTGGAATGTCAGAGGGTCAGATGTGAACGAAAGCATAAACCTTGACCAGAACACATACAACGTATGTCCCCTGGAAACCCGGCAGGGTTGGGTGCTGGAGACCGGTCCACATGCCTCAGCTCAGCTCAGCATCCACGACGTTCCCATCACAGCCCTGAAGGAATCATTGGGTACACAAATGAAGATATGAACTGCCAGAAAGTACTTGTAATCTCCATGACAGGTGGAAGATTAATGTGAAAAATTTGAAGTCCTTACCACTAAAACAGGATAAGATACAAAAGAAATGAATAGAAGACTAAAAATTTTAAATTTCCAATAAGCATGAATGAGATGAACAGCTAGTTGATCTCATTAATAACTAAAGTTTCTCAGGTTTAAACACACGTCTCCCACCTGTAAGAGCAAACAAGATTTAAAATGCTGATAATATCCAGCATTGCAGAGCGAGGGGCTTCATTCTTAGAAACCCTTGGCAGGTGTAATTTTATTTAAATTGTGATCAACCATAAAATAAAATGTACCATTTTACCCATTTTAAAGTGTGCAATTCAGTGACAGTACAGTCATAATGTTGTGCAACCATCCCCACTACCTAGTTCCAGAATACTATCATCGCTCCCGAAGGAACCCCGGTACTATTAAGCAGCCATGCCCAGCCCCTGGCAACCAATACTATTCTGCTTGTCTCTATGGATTTGCCTGTTCTGCACATTTCATATAGACGCAGTCATGGAATATGTGGTCTTTGTGTCTAGCTTTGTTCACTCAGCATGTTTTCAAGGTACACCTGTGTTTGGGTATGTTTCAGAACGCCATTCCTTTTCTTGGCTGAATCATATTCCATCAAAGGGACACGCCACATTTCATTTATCCATTCATCTGCTAATGCACTTTTGGGTTCTTTTCAACTTTTGGCTAGTGTGAATAGTGCTTCTATAAACATTCTTTTTTTTTTTTTTTTTTTTTGAGACAGAGTCTCCCTCTGTCACCCAGGCTGGAGTGCAGTGGCCCCATCTCGGCTCACTGCAACCTCCACCTCCCGGGTACAAGTGATTCTCCTGCCTCAGCCTCCCAAGTAGCTGGGATTACAGGTGCGCACCACCACACCCAGCTAATTTTTTATATTTTTGGTAGAGACGGGGTTTCACCATGTTGGCCAGGCTGGTCTTGAACTCCTGACCTCAAGTGATCCTCCCGCCTCGGCCTCCCAAAGTGCTGGGATTACAGGCATGAGCCACTGCGCCCGGCCCTATAAACATTCTTGTACATGTTTCTGTTTGAACACCTCTTTTTAATTCTGTTGGGTATATACCTAGGAGTGGGAACTGATGAGTTGTATGGAATTCCATGTTTACATTTTGAGGACGTGCCAGACTGTTTTTCACAGCATCTGTACCATTTTATATTCTCACTAGCAATGTACAAACATTCCAGTTTCTCTTCATCCTTGTCAACATCTGCTACCTTCTATTTGTTGGTGTATGTGTGTGTTAAATTATAGCCATCTTGGTGGGTATGAAGTATCAACAGCATGTCATTGTGGTGTGGATTTCTGTTTCCCTAATGACCAATAACATTGAGCTTCTTTTCCTGCGTGTATCATCCATTTGCATATCCTCCTTGGAGAAATGTCTATTAAAGGACTTTGCCTATTTTTAAATTGGGTTGACTTTTTGTTGTTGAATTATAAGAGTTCTTTATATATTCTGGGTGTTAGATCCTTATCAGAATTATGATTTACAAGCATGTTCTTCCCTTGTGTGGGTTGTTTTACTCTCTTGATAGTGTCCTTTGATGCACAAAACTTTTTAATTTTGATGACATCCAATTTATCTATTTTTTCCTTTTGTTGCTTATGCTTCTGGTGTCATATCTAAAAAACCATTGCCCAAAATAAGGTCATACATATTTACTCTTATGTTTCCTTCTAAGAATTTTATGGCTTTATCTCATATATGTAGGGCTTTGATCCATTTTTAGTTAATTTGTTGGTGTGAGATGTAGTGCAACTTTATGATTTTGTGTGTAGATATCCAGTTGTCCTAGCACCATTAAAACAGAGACAGGGTATTGCTCAGCCTGTTGCCCAGGCTGGAGTGCAGTGGCACAATCATAACTCATTGCAGCCTCAAACTCCTGGACTTAAGTGATCCTCCCACCTCAGTTTCCCAGGTAGCTGGGACTACAGGTGCACACCACTATATTTGGCTAATGAAAAAACATATTTTTTTAGGGACCAGGGTCTTACTCTGTTACCCAGGCTGGTCTCGAACTCTTGGCCTTAAACAATCCTCTCATCTCAACCTCCTGAGTAGTTGGGATTACAGGCATAAGCCATCATTTTATAGCATTTGTGTACCTAACATCAGTTATAAACATTCATGTACCTAACAAACATCAGACCCCCAAGATATATCAAGCATAAATGGAAAGAAGAGAAGAAAGAAATAGGCAATTCCAGTTCAACAATAATGTTTGAAGACTTCAATAAGTCACTTCCACTGATTAAAAAAAATTTTTAAATAGAACTAGATCAAAGATCAATAACGAAATAGAGAACTTGAAGAACACTATAAACAAGCTAGATCTAATATGGCCGTGTATAAAACATTCAACCCAACAACAGCAGAATACAAATTCTTCTCAGTTCTCCAGATTAGACCATATGTTAGTCCAAAAAACAAGTCTCAATAAATTTAAAATTATTGAAATCATATAATGTATCTTCTCTGACCACAGTGGGAATTAGAAATCAATAACAGAAGGAAAACTGGAAAATTCACAAATATGTGGCAATTAAACAACACATACTTATAACAACCAGTTGATTGAAGAATAAATCAAAAGAGAAGTTAGAAAATACTATGGGATAAATGACAGTGACAATATAACAAACCAAAACTTATGGGATACGGCAAAACAGTTTATGGAGGGAAATTTGTAGCTATAAATGCTTATATTAAAAAACAAGAAAGATCTCAATTCAGTAATCTAACTTCACACCTTAAGGAACCAGGAAAAGGAAGAGCAAACTAAACCAAAACCTAGAAGAAGGAAGAAAATAAAGATTATATGTAGAATACAGGGAGCAAATAAAGAAATTGAGAATAGAAAAACAATGGAACCAACGAAGCCTAAAATTAGTTTTTTGAAAGCAACAATAAAATTTACAAACCTTTAACTAGACTGAGAAAAAAGAGAAGGCTCTAATTATTAAAATCAGAAATGAAAGTGGGAACATTACTGCTGACCTATATAGATAAAAAAGACTATAAGAGAATATATGAACAATTGTACACTAACACATAAAATCAATAAAATTTATTCCATTTAAGCATGTTTAGTGATATTAAATACATTCATAATGTAGATAACCTAGATGTAATGGATAAATTCCTATTAACATACAAACTACCAAAACTGATACCTTTATTAGTGTTCTTTATTTCTTTTCTTCTTTTTCTTTTTGAGATGGAGTCTTGCACTGCCACCCAGGCTGGAGAGCAGTGGCACGATCTTGGCTCACTGCAACCTCTGCCTCCCAGGTTCAAGTGATTCTCCTTGCCTCAGCCTCCCAACTAGCTGGGATTACAGGTGCCCACCACCACACTCAGCTATTTTTTTTTGTGTGTGTATTTTTAGCAGAGATGGAGTTTCACTATGTTGGCCAGGCTGGTCTCAAACCCTTGACCTTCTGATCTGCCCGCCTCAGCCTCCCAAAGTGCTGGGATTACAGGCGTGAGCCACTGTGCCCAGCCAGTTCTTTATTTCTTAATATGGCTTCAAGTTATTGTCTAGTGCCCTTTGATTTCATCCTGAGCTGTCATTTCTTGTAGGGCAGGCCTACTGGCAATAAACTCTCTCAGCATTTATTTATCCAGAAGTGTCCTAATTTCTCCTTTAGTTTCAAAGAATCATTTCATTGGACACAGACTTCTTGGTGGACAGTTTTTTTCTCTTTCAGCACTTTAAGTACATCATCCCATTGCCTTCTGTTCTTCATGGTTTTTGAAGAGAAATTGGCTGTTAATCTTCTCTCTTCCTGCTTTCAAGATTCTTGTTTTGTCTTTGGCTTTCAATAATTTAATTTTGTGTTTCTGTGTGGATCTTTTTGAGTTTATTCTACTTGAAGCTCATGGAGCTTCTTGAATGTGTAGATTCAATGTGTTTCATCATATTTGGGAAGTTTTTGGTCATTATTACTTCAAATATTTAAAAAATTATTGTAGTTAAATACACGTGAAATTTATCCCATTTTAAGTGTACCGTTCAGTGATATTAAATACATTCATAATGCAGTGCGGTCATTGCCACCATCCGTCTTCAAAACTTTTCATCTTGGAAAACTGAAACTCTGTCCCCATTAAACACTAACTCCACATTCCTCCTCCTCCCCCCAGGCACCTGGCAACCACCATTTTACTTTCTGTCTCTATCATTTTTCTTCAAATAGTTTTGAGTGCTCCATTCTCTCTCTGCTCTTCTTCTGACACTGCTGTTAAGTGTGCTGTTGGTATGTTTGATGTTGTCCTACAGGCCAGTTAAACTCTGTTCAGTTTTAAAATTCTTTTGTTTTTGTTTGTTTTGAGATGGAGTCTCACTCTGTCATTCAGGCTGGAGTGCAGTGGCATGATCTTGGCTCACTGCAACCTCCGCTTCCCAGGTTCAAGTGATTCTCCTGCCTCAGGCTCCCGAGTAGCTGAGATTACAGGCATGAGCCACCACGCCCAGCTATTTATTTATTTATTTTATTTTTAGTAGAGACAGGGTTTCACTATGTTGCCCCAGGCCGTTCTCAAACTCCCAACCTCAAATGATCTGCCTGCCTCAGCCTCCCAAAGTGCTGGGATTACAGGTGTGAGCCATCACGCTCGGCCTCTTTTTGTTTTTATGCCCTTCAGACTGGAGTATTTCACTTGACCTATCTACCTGTTCTCTAATTTTTCCTTCTGTCTGTTCAAATCGGCTGTGGGACTTCTCTAGTGAAATTTTCATATCAGTTATTATACTTTTCAACTCCAGAATTTCTATTTGATTCCTCTTTATAATCTCTCTCTTTATTGATATTCTCTCTTGGTTGAGATGTTGTTTTCTTAGTTTCTCTTTGTTCTTTTGTCATGGTTTCCTTTAGCTCTTTGAGTATATTTAAAAGAGTTAATGGAAAGACTTTGTCGAGTAAATTCAATCCTGGGCTTCTTCAAGGACATTTTTCACTACTTGGCTTTTTTTTCTTTCTTTACTGCGAATGAACCATACATTCTTGCTTCTTTGCATGCCTCATAATTTTTGTTGAAAACTGGACATTTGGAATATTATAATTTGATAATTCTGGATGGCACATTCTCCCTCTTCCCTGTGGTTTGCTGTTGCTGGTTGTGTGGCTAGTAGTTTTGTTTTGTTTTTAAGTGACTTTCCTAAACTATTTTAGTAATGACTATACTCTTTGTCATGAAGGGGGTCACTATTCCATTTGCTTAGTGCTCAGATAGTAATTAGACAGAGTTTCTTAAACACCTGGAGTCAAAAGATGTTTTTTTCCCAGTCTTTATAGCTGGACTCTGTGTGTTGGTCCACACCCTCAGTGCTCACCTGGGCGGTTTGCGACTGCCTTCCCCTTCACTTCCCCTTCACTTCCTGCCTTCCCCTTCACTTCCCCTTCACTTCCTGCCCTCCCCTTCACTTCCTGCCCTCCCCTTCACTTCCTGCTTGCTCAGAGCCTGCAGTTCAGCCAGAGGTGAGCACTGAGAGCCTCTCAGGTCTTTTCTGTGCCCCATCATGGGCATGCATGGGGGCCTTATAGACTCCCAAGAATATGTGGAATCTTCCAATGCCCTTATTTCCCAAAGCATCTAATTTCTCAGCTCTTCCTCCCAGGTTTTTTGGGGTGTCCATTGTTTTCTCAACTGATATCCTTTGTCCAGGTGGCAGTGACTGGTTCATTTGCCTTTAAATGTTCTGACCAAGCCTCTGTGTAGCTGCTTCTCTGGCTGGAGGGAATCTGAGTTGGCGAAATAAGGCAAGCCCTGTGTGTTAGTCCTTCAGGAAGCCGTCACTACTGTGCTCCTCTCCTGCCTTGTTCTGTTAGATCTTTAGAGAAGAAATTATTTACCTTCACATTTCACTTCCCCAGTGCTTGTTCCCCCTCTGCCCACCACAGGATGCCCCTGCCCACAGAATGTGACTGGAAAGCCCCTCATCAAGGTCTCCAAGAACTCCCATTCCTAAATCCTGAGTTGGTTTCTATCACTGTGAGTGTGTGTACCACGGCCCCTGAAGCCCTAGGTCACTCTCCATACCACTCAGGAAGCCTGTGCAAGATGCTCCTGACCCCCGCGACAGCCCTGTGGCCCCCACTTTCCCTGCACCCATCCCTGTGTGGCCTGTCTCTTCCAGCACAGCTGCCTGGCCTGCGCTCCATCCCCACCTTCCCCTTCTGGAAGCGAGCCGTGCCTCCTGCGGTGGGACCAGTGAGAGTTCCCCTTATGAGCCAGGCACTGGGGACAACAGGATGCCTAAACAGGAACCATTTGGTGGGTGTCTGAGGCCTCTGGACAGCGTTGTTCAGCAGGTGAAGGAGTCCATGTGAGCAGAATTTCCCCGAGGGTCGTGTCTCTGTCCAAATGTCCATCGCTGCAGTTTATGGACAGGGAGCGTCTGCCCCAGCCAGGCCCCACTGGGGATCTTCGAGGCACAGGTGGCCTCACTGCCACCCTCACTCCTGCCTCAAGGGCCAAAGCCAGAGCCCCCTGATATGGGCTGACTTGTGATGCCCCCGAATTCACATGTTGAAGTCCTAAGTTAAGGTCCTATGGATGGGCCCTAATCCAATGACTGGTGTCCTCTTGAGAAGAGGAGATGAGGGCAGAGACACACACAGAGGGACAGCCCCGTAAGGACACAGGGAGAAGACTGTGTCTGCAAGCCCAAGAGAGAGTCTTCGGGAACCAGCCCTGCCACACCTGGGCCTCAATTTCCAGCCCCAGGACTGTGAGGGACCCCATGTATGTGGCTCGAGCCCCCAGTCCGTGGACTTTGTCACAGCAGCCTGAGCTGACACATGCAGCTCCTCTCAGGTGTGGGGGTCCTTTGTGCCCACAGGGTATGGCCGAGGCCCCCAAACCCGACTATGCTCTCCTAAGGCGAGAAGAGTGGGCGGCATCGCAGCCCCGGGTCACCAGTGTGGGGGGTGTGGGTGAGGACTGGAGGGGACAGTGTGGCTCTGGCCATCTGCCTGTCTCCCATGGCAGGAGCTAAGAAACTACCCCCAGGAGGCCTCCTTCCTGCTGTCTGGTCTGGACACATTCCCACACTGTCCTGGGACTCCTCTGTCATCGCCGCCCTGAGACCTTCCTGTTCCCACCGGCCCTCCACCCACCCAGCCCAGCACAGGGAGCTCTGGAGACCACGTGTCTGTTCTCTGCTCTGCATCCCAGCGGCAAGCCCAGGGCTGGAGCAGGGGCCATCCCTGAGCGTCTGTGAGTGTCCACAGGAGGCCAGGATGGCCAAGCTCTCTCCGAGTGGAACTCCTGAGTGCTGGGACAGCTGGAGCCCAAGTCTCCACACCCACCCCCCACCGCCCGTCTCCCACCTCCCAGCACAGCTGGGGCCTGCCACCCCCCGGGACAGCCCCAACCCTTGCCATGGGAAGGAGCTGCTTCTACCCACAGTGAGTGGGGCATTAGCCTGAGTCACGTGGTGTCTGTGGGACTCAGCCAGTGAACAAGGCTTTTGGGCCCCACAGGACCTGGGAGGGGAGCCGGACAGCAGAACGTGCCACGAGGTGGACAGGAGCTTCCAGGTGTCACACAAGAGCCCCCCGAGGCCCCCCAGCTGGGGAAGTAAAGAGATCCACGGGGCCCAGCCCCCCAGAGCCAGGCCAGGCCCCACTCTGCCCCCTCCCGCCCTGGGTGCGGAGAGTCAGCACGGAGTCAGCTGGGGCCGCAGACGCTTTATTGGTGCTCAGGGGCAGAGGGTGACGCTGCTGGGGGTGAGACCCGGGTCAGGAGGGCCCGTCCCCAACCAGCGACCAGCGGAGGGTTGTGGTCTGCAGCCAGGAAGCACCGTGAGGAGAAGCCAGGGCTCGCCTGCCCGGGGGGGAGGTCAGGGAGGAGCCAGTGAGCATCTGAGACCCCGGGGCTGGGCGGCTGTGGCTGGGGCTGCTCCTTCTGTGTTGAGCTGTGCTGAGGCTGGGTGGGCTGGGAGGTCCAAGGACTGGCAGGGAGGTGGGGCCTGAGCCCGGCTGGCCCTGGGGGACATGACCGTCAGCAGCTGGACTTCTGGCCTGAGGAGAAGCTGTAGCAGGCCGGGCGGGAGCACACAGGGCGGCAGAGAAGGGACACACAGGAGGCCTGGCGGCAATAGCTGGGCTGGCGGGAGGAGGTGGGGGCACAGCAGGAGGAGACGGGCACGCAGCAGGCGGGCCTGCACACAGGGCGGCAGAGGAGGGACACAGAGGAGGAGGGTCTGCAGCAGGAGGTGGTGCAGCAAGCCGGCTGGCAGCCAGACTGCTGGCAGCACAAAGAGGAAGCCCCAGAGCAGACAGGCACACAGCAGATGGGTTTGCAGCAGACAGGCTTACAGCAGACAGGCACACAGTAGGACTGCTGGCAGGGGGAGGAAGTGCAGCAAGCTGGCTGGCAGCTAGACTGTTGGCAGCATGAATAGGAATCCTCAGAGCAGGTGGGCGCACAGCACACAGGTTTGCAGCAGACGGGCACACAGCAGGCCGGCTGGCAGGAGGAAGAGGCACAGCAAGCTGGCTGGTAGCTAGACTGTTGGCAGCACGAAGAAGCCCCACAGCAGACGGGCACGCAGCACACAGGCTTGCAGCAGACGGGCACGCAGCAGGCCTGCTGGCAGGGGGAGGAGGTGCAGTAAGCCGGCTGGCAGCTAGACTGCTGGCAGCACGAGGGCGTGCAGGAGCTGGTGCAGCCTGATTGGCAGGGGCTGGGCTCACAGGTCACCTGGCAGCAGGGGCTGGATACACGGCTCACTGGGGTGCAGACCAGGGTCAGGCAGGGGGCCGGGGCGCAGCAGCTGGTGGCGCAGCAGGGGGGCTCACAGCAGCTCTCTGGGCAGTCGTCCACCTGCCAGGAGTCGGAGTAAGCGCTGGAGCGGATGGACATGGTGGACGCGGCCATGCTGGGGTGGGGAGGAGGTGAGCTGGGGGAGGTGTAAGTGAGTGTGTGAGTGTGTCAGTGAGTGAGTTTGTGAGTGTGTGAGGTTCTTGGGGCTCTCAGGCTTTTATACCCCTCCTGGCCTTGTTGTTCCAGGGCCCACAGCTTCCCCTTCCTTGTTGCTGAGAGGCGGCGTCTGCCATGATTAGGGATGTTTGTTTGCTGGTGACATTGCCCAGCTCACAAATCTCCTGTCACACCTGGGCTATAGTCTGTTGCATGTGGAACCTCAGGGGCAGGAGTTGGGGTGGGCCTGATCCCAGCTGGGTTCTGGAGGCAAGGACGGCTGTGGGCGTCTGGTGGGTGGGATGTGGGTGGGATGTGCCTGGGGCCATCTTTGGTTGCTGGGGCATCGTCCAGCCACTGGCCCCAGCAGCCTCAGGACACGGGCTTCCTCTGCAGGAAGCCGGCCCTTAGGAATTATTTCCTGTGGTGCAAACTCCTCCTCTAGTATGGTCCTTCCCCTGCTGTAGGACACAGGACTCGCCAATTTCTAATCCCCATGGCCTCTGTGCCTCCTGCCCTCTGTTCATTGCCCACCCTGTCCTTTGCTTGGGAGGCAGCAGGACTCTGTTCCAGGGCAGGGATCGTGGGCTCAGCCCACTCCTTGCTGAGGCACAATGGCAGCATCGTGGGCTGTGGTTTCGGGTTCTGAACCCGTGAAGTAGCTGTGCTAGGCAGCAGGCAGCCGCCAGCCCTCGCCACTGCTGGAGCCATCTCCTCCGTGTGCCCTGCACTGCAAGCATCTTTTTCTCACCAGCCCTGCCCACAGGCCCCATCACACACCCCCAGGTCAGCCACAGGCAACTCTCACGGCTGCATGATCTTTGATGATGAATTGTTATCACCACAGGGCATGATGAAGTCCCGAGCTTCTTGCCTTATAAAATGGCCCTGATCACTTTCCAGGAACATTGCTACCCAGCAGCTAATTATAATATTGATTGTGATTTCACATTTTTATTTAAAAATTCAAGTACACATACGCATATTTCATTATAAAGTAAGACGTATTACACGATGTTGAGTAGAACGTCTTTGTTGCTGTGAATCTGGCAAAGCTGGAAACGGCCTCTCATTCTAAAAATAATGCTAACATTCTGGGTCAGACCTGTCCCCACAGGGTTTCTAAAATAAGACAGAAGTTGACCAGCTATGGCCAGCTGCCACACCCCACCAGTGCTGCCCAGGTTGTAAGAAGGAGGCTGTGGAGGCAGGGGTGGCCCTTCAGTCTTACGCAAAGTGTGGTGTCCCAGGGAGAGAGTCCTCCAGCTACTGTCCCTGGGGGTGTCTCTAAAGTGGGTCCTCACTGAAGAGGCAGAAGCAGCTGGTAGAAGCACAGGATCACTGGAGCAGCCGGAGAGAAGGTGCAGCAGTGGCCAGTGAGCCCCACAGTGGTGGCCCTGCACATTCCTTCCCCCGTCCCCATCACTGAAGAAATTAGAGCCCAAAACAGGGAGAAGGGGAGCAAGGAAAGAGAGGCCATGCCGCTCCCCGCGGCCTTCCCCGAGGTCCACTCAGACTTGCATGTGGGAACGCTGGGGATAGGACTGGGTTTCAGACAGGATAGAAAAGTTTTGAACTGGTCCATTTTGGGCTATGGATTTGGTTCTGCTCTTTCAGGCCATAGCTTTATGATACGCTTCAATCATAGATAATTCAAGTCCCATTATCAATATTTCTTTTTGTAAAAAAAAATTTTTTTTGTAGAGACCAGAGTCTTGCTATGTTGCCCAGCTGGTCTTGAACTCCTGGGCTCAAGTGATCCTCCTGCCTTGGCCTCCCAAATTGCTGGGACTACAGGCGTAAGCCACCGTGCGTGGCCCATCATCAGTATTTCTGTGCCAAGTCTCCTAACTTTTCATGCTCATTTTCTTTGCTGTGCTCAGCTCCCATTCTTCAAAGGTAAGCTTCATGTGGGCAGGAAGTGTGGTTGTCTTGTTCACCACTCAGTCTCTGAGGGCCTAAAATAATGCCTGGAATAGGGAAGATCCTTCATAAAAATGGGCTGAAATAATAAATGTTTTTGGAGAAATTATCGAAGAGTAATTTTGACCTCTGAAAACGATTCCATTATGCTACCTTTTTCTTATGCTGTATAAAACTCTCTGTCAAGTTCTGCTTTTGTGTGTGGGGAATTGGCTGACATCAGACTGGCCATCTAGCTGAGAAAAGTTAGGAAACCTGGTTTAACAAACAAAATCTCTATTTGAGGGCACCAGGAGTCACCAAGACAGCTGAGACTTGAGTGAGTGAATCCCTATTAGAGGGAAAGTGCACAGAAGTGAGTCTAATATTTCTTCTGGATTTTCTTATTGAGGCATTTACTGATTCACAGACTACAGCCATGAGGCTGAGGCTGAGCACAGCTTTTAGTAGTCTCATACAATTGGAAGACAAAAACATAGAGTTCAGGACCTGACAAGGAGGAGGGATTCTGGTAAAACAACAACAACAACAGACTGTCAGTTGGAAACAGTGAATATAAGTGAAGGATTACGCCCTAGGATGAAGGAAAAAACGGAAAGAAGAATGAAGCCCACCTTTAAATCAGCTCGTATTGAACTCATATGATCTGCCTGTAGCCTAAGTGCCTCCCAGAAACAAAAGTGATCTCTTCTGGAGACAGCAGCATCAACAGAGGCTCAAATCATCTTGGAAATTTTCATGAAGTCCTGGATTCAGTCAAAAATTACTAGGGCTACTAGAAGACAAACCAACTGACCAAAGGACCAAGAGGAAAAAGCAAACAAGAGAAACAGATACACAGGACCTTTAGATATTAGAATTGTCAAACTGGAATTTAAAATAATGCTGATTAGCTTGCTCAAAAAACCAGAGGACAAATGGAGAATTTCAGTGTCAAACTAGATTTATGAAATGGAATCAAACAGAAATTCTGGAAATGAACATAATAGCTGAAATTAAGAACTAAGTAGATTAGCTAGACAACATATTAGACAAAACCAAAGAGAAGATTAGTGAAGAAAGGGAGATGAGGAAATTCAGCCCTGAGTACAGAGATGGGAAAGAAAAGAGGGAAATGAAGAAAGTGGAGTAGTAAGCATGCCCTTATGTTGTAAATAATTATGAATATAAATGGTTGAAATCATAGGAGGAGATGAGTAAAATAAGGGTAGTAAAATATTTGAAGGTTTAATAGACAAGAAGTTTAAAGTGATGAAAAACATTAACCCATAGATGCAAAAAGCATTTAAGAATGTTTAGCAAGGTGAATACAAAGGAAACCATGCCTGTGCATATTGGGGCTGAAATCCAAAGACAGAGAAAAATTTAAAAACAGCCAAGGGAAAAAAAAAGAAATATTACCTTTAAAGAAGCAACAATAGCATTTACAGATGACTTCTCAGTAGAAATGATGGCAGCCAGAGGATGATGGAATGATATATTTACTGTCTGAAAGAAAAGAAGCACCAAGCTAGAATTCTACACCTGGGAAGAAGATCCTCAAAAATGAGGACAGGAAAATGATGTTCTCTGGATGCTGAGAGGTTGTGTCACCAGTAGGATCTGCACTACAGAAAATAAAAAGATAATTAGGCAGAATGAAAATGATCACAGATGGAAGCAAGAAGTCGAAAAGGAAATGAAGTGTAACAAAAGGAGGACAACATGGGGAAATCTAAATGAATATTTACTGTATAAGATGTCTTAGAAGTTGTAAAATATTTATAGAAATGAAATACATGGCAAGAAGATCACAAAATTCAGGAGGGGGCTACATGAAGTTAAAGCAGTCTTAGTACACTATACTATCTGGGAAATAATATAAGATCTAATTTACATTAGACTTTAAAAAGTCATAGATTCATGTTGTAATCTCCACTAGAGTAATGAAAGAATATACAACTCAGGAGGAAGTAGATGAGTGTAGTGGGTTGAATCTTGCCTCCCCAAAAGTCATATCCACCCAGAACCTCACTGTGTTAAGCTGGTCTCGCATTGCTATAAAGAAATATTTGAGACTGGGTAATTTATAAGACGAAAGTTTAGTTGGCTCATGGTTCTGCAGGTTGTACAGGAAACATGGCGCTGGCATCTGCTCAGCTTCTGGGGAGGCCTCAGGGGGCTTTGCTCATGGTGGAAGGTGAAGGGGGAGTGGGCATGTCACATGGCAAAAGAGTAGCAAGAGAAAGAGAGTGGGGGATGGGAGGTGCTACACGCTTAACCAGATCTTGCCAGAACTCCCTCACTATCACAAGGACAGCACTACTAAGTCATGAGAGATCCGCTCCCATGAGTCAAATAGCTCCCCCAAGGCCCCACCTCCAACAGTGGAGATCACATTTCAACATGAGATTTGGCAGGGCCATACAACCAAACCATGTCACTCACAATGTGACCTTACATAGAAATAGGGTCTTTGTAGATGAAATTAGTTAAAATGAGGTCATACCGGGTTATAGTGAACCTTAAATCCAATGACTAATGTCTTTATCAGAGAAAGGAGAAGGAAGTTCAAACACACACACAAAGGGAAGACGGCGTATGACAGCCAAGGCAAAGATTGTCATGAGGCAGCTATAAGCCAAGGGACGCCAAGGTTTGCTGGGAGCACCAGAAACTAGAAGCAGCAAGGACAGAGTCTCCCTTGGAGCTAAGAGAAAGCATGGCCCTGTGGATATCTTCATTTCAGGTGCCTGGCCCTAAGAACTGCGAGATAATAAATTTCCACTCTTATAAGTCACTTTTTTGGTGACATTTGATGTGGCAGCCCAAGGAACTAATACAGTGAGGGGAAGATGGGGGCATAAAAAATCTCAAAACACTAGATCCAAAAGCAGTAAAGCAAGGAGATAAAAGGGAGTAGATTCCTTGCGTAAGCAAAAACCAAAATGAGATGGGAGGTTTAAGCTCAAACGTATCAGCAAAGCCCCACATTCTTGCCAGTCCTGCACAGCAGATGTGTTGTTACTTTAGTCAACACAGCTATACAGAGAGAGTCCTTTGGGGTTTAAGTTTGTATTGCCCTGATGACTCATGATGTGGAGCATGTTTTCATGTATTTATTTGCCATCTGTACCTGCTCTTTAGGGAAGGGTCTATTTAAGTCTTATGTTATATGGCAAAATACTAAGCACCATGGGGTTCCATGCATATAACATTTTGGAAAAGGTAATTGTAAAGGGACCAAAAAAAATGTCAGTGGCTGCCAGGGACTAGGATGGGGATGTGGAATGACTACAAATGGCCATGAGGGAAATGTATGGGATGATGAGAGGAGTCTATGTATTGATTGCGTTGGTGGAGACACAACTGTCTATATTTGTCAAGACACCGAATCCACACAAAAGGAACAAAAATACAAATATCCCATATTGATTAAATAACTTGAATCTAACATCAAAAGCTTTCCTACAGAGCCAACTACAGACCCAAATACTTTCCCTGCTGAATATTCTCAAACAACTGGGAGAGAAATAATACCAGTCTTAAATTTATCAGCTTGTTTTATTAGGCTGCCATAATTTTCCAGACCTTAGGAAGTGGGGCCTGAAGTATTGGCTTCTAGTGAGAGCAACTGAGGAATGATATGTGCTGCCCAGGGGGCCACGTGGATGTTACCTGGGGACATGATGGCCCTACTGGGGAGGGGCCAGCCATAGGCCAGGAAAGGAGCCTGATGAGGAAGCCACTGTCATACAGAAGCTGGAGCAGACTGATCGGCGGGGGCTGGGCCCACAGGACATTATGTAGTGATTAATGTCCATCCATCAATAAGATATATCAATTATAAATATATACATGTTTATCATCAGATCACCAATGTATATGAAACAAAAATGGACAGATTTGAAGAAAGAAATAGACAGTTCCAGTTCTACAGTAAGAGTTTGAGACTTCAATAAGCCATTCTCTCTAATTTAAAAAAGTATAAAATAACAGAACTAAATTTTTATTCAATAAGGAAATAGAGGACTTGAAAAATGACATAAATCTACTGGGTCTAACAGATATGTGCAAAAACACACAACCCAACTACAGCAGAAAACTCACTCTCCTCAAGTTCACATGGGACATTCTTCAGATTAGATTTTACCTTAGGCCACAAAACTAGCCTCAATAATCTAAATTGATTTGAATCATACAGAGTATCTTCTCTGATTACAATGGAAGGAAACTAGAAATCAGTAACAAAAGAAAAGCTGGAATTCACAAATATGTGTAACCTAATAGCACACTTTCAAACAACCAATTGGTCAAAGGAGAATTCAAAGAGAAGATAGAAAACTCTTGGAAAGGAATGAGAAAGAAATCACAGTAACCCAAAACTTAACGAGATGCAATGAAGGCAGTACATAGAGGGAAATTGATAGCTAGGAATGCTTACATAAAAAAATAGAAACATCTCAAATCATTAATTTAACTTTACACCTTAAGGAACTAGAAAAAGAGCAAAGTGAATCCAAATTTAGCAGAAGGTAGAAAATAAAGACTAGAGTGCAGATAAATGGAATAGAAATTTTAAAAATCAATCGAATCAAGGAACAAAAAAGTTGGTTCTTTGAGAAGAGCAACAGATTTGACAAACCTCTGTCTAGACTGATTAAAGGAAGACAGATTCAAATAACTAAAATCGTAAATGAAAATGGGAACATCACTACTGACCTTACGTTAATAAAAATAATTATAAAGGAATACTATGAATATTTGTACCCAACAAATTAGATAACCAAGATGTAATGGAAAAACTCCTATAAACATACAAACTACCAACATGGCTACCTTTGCTGTTGACCTTTCTTCATTCATATTGCTTTAGCTTACTATCGACTGCCTTTGTATTTCAGCCTGAAATAGCATTTCTTGTAAGGGACATCTTTCAGCAACGAGCTCTCAGGTTTTATTTACCTCAAAATGTGTTACTTCTTCACTTTTGAAGGATCACTTTGCCAGATGAAGACGTCTTTTTGGTTGTTGGGTGCTCCCCACCCCTGTGCCCAAACCCAGCATGTTAAATATGTCATCCCAACGCGTTCTGGCCTCCATGGTTTCTGATGAGAAATCCGCTGTTAGTCTTCCGTCCCACTGCTTTTTACATTCTCTCTTTGTTTTGACTTTTGAGAGTTTGATTATACTGTGTTTTTATGTGAATCCCTCTGAGTTAGATTGATGTGTTTCCTCAATTCTGGAAGTTTGGGCCATTATTTCTTCAACTATTTTTTCTGCTCCCACTGTCTCCCCTCCAACTGGAAATCCTGCTAAGTGTGTTGGTATGCTTGATGGTGTCCCACAGGTCTTTTCAGATTTGTTTATTTTTCTTCATTCTCTCATCTGCTCCTCATTTTCTCATCTACTCCTCAGACAAGAATACTTCAATGGATCTATCTTCTTGTTCACTAATTCTTATAGCTGCTAAAATCTGCTGTTGAAACCATATCATGAGTTATTTATTTCAGTGACTGTACTTTCCAATTCCAGAACTTCTATTTAATTTCTTTTTAAATTTCCTCCTATCTCTTTATTGATATTCTCTATTTGGTGAGGTATCATTCTCCTGGTTTATCTTAATTCATTGTCTGTGATTGTATTTAGTTTTTTAAACATGTTTAAGAGAGTTGATTGAAAGGCTTTGTCTAATAAGTCCAATTCTGGGCTTCCTCAGGAAGATTTTCCATTAATTGCTTTTCCTCCTCATGAGTAGCTTATATTTCTTGCTGCTTTGCATGGCACATGCCTCTGGTGAAAACTGCACAGTGACAATTACAAAGGGATATTTCTGGGTATCAGGCTCTCCTCCCTCTGCGCAGTTTGCTGTTGCTGATTGTTGTGGATTGTGGTTGTTTTTGTTTGTTTCTGTCAGTTTTTAAAAATAGTTTCTTCACCATGTGTGCTCACTGTTCTATTAGCTTAGTGCTGAGATAGTAATTTGACAGAGAGTTCCTTAAACCCCTGGAATCAAAAACTTATTTTTCTTCAGGGTTTGTAGCTGGGCTCTGTATGTTGGTCCACGCCTTCAGCACTCGGCTGGGGAGTTTGTGACTCTGCCTTCCCCTTCACTTCCTGCTTGCACCTTCACTTCCTGCTTGCACCTTCACTTCCTGCTTGCTCAGAGCCTGAGGTTCAGCCAGAGGTGAGCAATGAGAGCTTCTCAGCTCTTTTCTGAGCCAGTGCCCCATCATAGACATGCACGGGGGCTTTCTGGACTCTAAAAATATGTGGAACCTTCTAACTCCCTTATTCCTCAAAGCATGTCATCTCCTAGCTTTTCCTCCCAGGCTTTTTAGGGGTGTCCAGTGTTTTCCCAACTGAAAATTTTTGACTTAGGTGTCAGTGACTTGTTCATTTACCTTTAAACGTTGTAACACACACCCTCCATATAGCTGCTCCTCTACCTTGAGATAGTCTGAGTTGGTGAAATAAGGCAAGCCCTGTGTGTTAGTCCTTCAGGGAGCCACCAGACGGTCGAAACAGGCAACTGCACTGCCTTACAAACAAGGTCCACTCTGCTTCCCTGGCAGCAGCACCCCACACCAGGAACTCCGGCTGCTGCCTTCCTGACTGTCACCCAGCTGGGGATGGGGGATGGGGCAAGGGGAAGTTAAAATCCACAAGGTTCTCCTATTGGGCTCTGTTGCTTTTACTTGATTATGTGTTCCCTTGCTTGCTGCAAAGCTTTGACCATTTTCCAGAGTTTGGATAAAGTTGATTTTACCAGGTAGTGTTTGTTTGTTTGTGTATTAGTCCTTTTTCACACTGCTATAAAGATACTATCCAAGACTGAGTAATTAATAAAGGAAAGAACTTTGATTGACTCAGTTTCACATGGCTGGGGAGGCCTCAGGAAACTTACAGTCATGGTGGAAGGCAATGGGGAAGCAAGGACCTTCTTCACATGGTGGCAGGAGAGAGAAGCAAGTGAGAGCAGGGAAAACTGCTTTATAAAACTGTCAGATCTGGTGAGAACTCACTATCACTACAACAGCATGGGGGAAACCAACTCCATGATCCAATCACTTCCCACCAGGTCTCTCCCTCAACACCTGGGGATGACAGTTCAAGATGAGATTTGGATGGGGACAAAAAGTCCAACCATATCTGTTTGTTTTGCCAGTTTCTGATGTTCTGTGGAGGGACAGGCCCTTACAGTTCCCCGCTCCACCATTTCCTCTGTCATCGGTCTTAGCAGGCACAGTTTGGACACTCTTTTTGAGGGTATTTCTAAATATCTTTATGAATTTGAAATCTGCTAACACTCCAGCTTAGAAGTGCCACTTTTAGGAATTTAGGCAAACACATATCTGAGTGTGGAAAGGTATATAGTGGAAACACACACAGAAGTGTCGTTTGTAATAAAGAACAACTAGAGAGACATTCAGTGCCATCCACCTGGTGTTGCAGACATCAAGTGCAGCGTGTTCACGCTTTGGAACACTGCGCAGCTTGCTGAAGAAAACCATAAGATATTTTTCTTTATTAAATTGGCAAAGAAAGAATAACGTGTGCCCCCAGCATTGTGATTGTATAGCTCTTAAGAAGTAAAGACTCAGGGCCTCTTGCAGGCAACCTGGTCACGGCCACACCTTGCCAGCATCCCTTGCCTGCAGTTGTATTTCTAGGAATCTGTTGCTCAATCCTGTTTGAAACCACATCTGGCTACAACTGGACCTGTGTGTCCATGTGTTTCTCTCACCCTCTGGTCTGCATGTGTCCCCACGCTGTCCTGGACTTCCTCTGCCATTGGGGCCCTCCGCCCACCCAGCCCAGCACAGGGAATTCCAGAGGCCGTGTGTCTGTTCTCTGTTCTGCATCCCAGCGGCAAGCCTGGGGCTGGAGCAGAGGGCGCCCCTGAGCATCTGTGAGCGTGCACAGGAGGCCAGGATGCCCAAGCTGTCCCTGAGTAGAACTCCCTGAGCGCTGGGACAGCTGGAGCCCAAGTGTCCCCCCATGTCCCACCTCCCAGCACAGCTGGGGCCTCTGCCACCTGCCAGGAGTCAGTGCAACTGCTAGAGGAGATGAACATGGTGGACGTGGCCATGCTGGGGGTGTGGAGGAGGTGAGCTGGGGGAGGCATGAGTGGGTGAGTGAGGTGAGTGAGTGGGTGAGTGAGTGAGGTGCTTGGGGCCCTTGGGGTTTTAGAGACCCCCCATGTGTGTTTTCTAGCAGGGTTCCCCACTGCACCCTCCTTTCCTGGTTGCTTTTCCTGGTGGGTGTCTAGGCTGTGGCACGTGTTCCTCCCAGGAACTTTTAGCCCAGCCTTGGGGCTGTGTTGAATTCGCTGGGTTGTTCGGCCCCAGAAGCAAAAGTCAGACAAAAAATACACCCAAGTGGGCAGGCGTGACCGGAGCAGAGGCTGAGGCTTGTGCGGGCACGTGCTGCCTTAGGGCTGCTTGGTGTGGTCACACCGCAGACTCTGTCCGTGCGCTGCCTGCGCTGAGCCAGGTGTCCGGTGCGCAGCCGCATTGTCACGGTGTCTCATTCTCACTGCTGAGCAGAGCTCTCGAATTGGGTGCTGACCAGGGCAGGGTCTCGGGTTCCAGGTAAACAAAGCCAGGCTTGCCCCACTGATCTGAGAAGAGGGACTGGAGTTGTGGGAGGTGGAGAAGGAGGCTGTGAAGCTCTGGAAGGCACCTGGCAGGGAGGAGGAGGAGGCAGGGCCAGGCAGCATGGTGAGGGACTGGGGAACCAGGGTCGGGGGCTGACAGGCTGTGAAAGGTAAGAGCCCTGTGGCTGCACACCTGTGACATTTGGGCCAGTGCCCCAGCCTTGTGTCTGTGGTTGTGTGGAAGGTGGTGTGGGGTGGAGAAGGGAGGTGCCCACCCCCAAGGCAACATCCTGGCAGAGAAAAAGAAGAATTGTAAGATCTCTCCCCGCTTTAGAGACAAAAGGGCACCGTGAGAGCGTCCACCTCCCCTGGGGTTTGTTCCCTGCTGTCATGTTGTTAGAGCAGAGGTGACCCTGGCAGGGATCTGGGGCAGCTGCCTTTGCCTGCATCGAACAGATGTGGCCTCGGGCTGAGAGCCTAAGCATGTGTGCAGTGACACATAGGAAGCCCCGCTGGGAGGTGCCCGCCGACACGCTGCACTCTGCCCAGGTGCTGCCGACCTCTGTCTGTGCCGATGGGGTGGTCTTCTCTGTGTGGCCTCCGCTGGGGGATGTGGCACTGTGGGGACACCCTGTTGCTCAAGCACCTCCTGACAGTGGCTTTGGCGTCCCTGGCGGCCCCGCCTGAAGTAGTTGTCTCATGGGCGTGTTTTCCTTGATGAAGACCTCCCAGCAGTGTCCAGAATGCTCAGGGTCTGGTCCCGGGAGGACGCTCCTGGGTTAAATGAGACGAGAACCTCAGGGTCACCAGGGCAGTGCACAGACCTATCTGATTCCAATTTGGGGAGCTTTTTGGGAAATTTGGATACGACTGTTGCATGATGTTCTGCTTCTTTTGATAACTATATATATATAGAAGTTGGCCATCTTCAGCTGCACTCGCTGTGGGCAGGCGGGAGAAAGCCCTCACTCCCAGGAGGCACCTGCAGAGAGACCCGGGGGAGGTGCCGCCATGTGGCTACAGCACTGAATTTCAAATGGTTCCAAAAAAACAGAATAAATTTAAAAAAAAAAAAAAAACCTTTGGTTATGGAATTAATGACATCTGGTTAAGCTGGGTGGTGAGATCCCCGCTGTCATTAATTCCATGGTAAAAATGTCTTTAATCCCCCAGCTATTTCTCTGGAAAATCCGCTGAGAGGTGGGATCCCATCCACTTATTTACACAAACTGCTACAGCGTGTCCCCAGGCCAGAGAGCGCTGCCTCGCTTGGCACCTGTGCGGCCTGGACTCTCTTCCGCAGCCTGGGCACTCGCGCTCCTGCGTGTGTGCGGGTCGGGTGAGCGCACGGCCCTCGTGCAGGGCCTCCCCGTGGTGCGGCGCTGGCTCCATTCGCCTCCATTCCCTCGTGGATGGATATTTAGGTTGTTTCTAATTTTTCATGGTAACAAACAGTGCCGCTTACGTACATGCGCCGGAGATTTTTCAGCACTGCCCATGGCGGAGTCCAGGAGGGCCTCTCACATGGTAGGATACGGCCCCGCCTCTTCCCAAAGCAGTGGTGCCAATCCCCCATTTCCACAGCCAGCTGGAGCTCCTGCCTGCCACGTCCGGTGAGCGATGGGTGTGTCCAGCTTTTTCTTCCAGGACAGGTGGGGTGAGGTGCCTGGGGTTCCTGTCGGCAGGTGCCTGCCTTCCAGGGGTGCCGATGTCTCATGTTCCAAGGCCATTTGGGCCGCTGGGTGGGAGTAGCCTGTCCATGCCTATTTCCTCCTGGGAGTTTATGCTTTTGTCTCATTGAAATCTTCTCGGTCGAGTGTCTTCTCACACACCGTGGCTTCCTTTTTCACTGGTTTTCTGCTGTCGTCTTGTGGCATAGAGAGGTTACTGTCTGCTTATGGAGTCAAGCACATCAGAGTCTTCTTGAACTCTTGCTCTGCGTGTCTCATTGGAGAAGTCTGTCATGCATTCATCTGTCTGCTGGTGATGGTCCCCCCAGCCCAACACCCCCAGGCAGGCCCCGTCAGAGGGGAGAGGGGCCAGTAGGAACGTTCCGGAGCCCGGCCACACGGCCCTGCCAGGAACCGAGCCTGGAACTGGGAGGAGAGAAGGGCAGACCAGGGACTCTGTTCCACCCTCGCCTGGGCCCTGGGATTGGTCACTCACGAATGGCAGAGGTTTCTTGGACTCCCTGTCTGCAAGGGAGCCCACCCTGACAGCCCCCTGGGGACGGTGCCTCTTGTGGAGCCGGGCTCCCTCCAGCCACAGTGACTACTGGTCGTGTCTCTGGGCGCTGTCCCCATGCTGGTGATGCAAAGTGCACGGCACAGGCCAACTTAGGGCTGCCTGACGTCAGTGGGGACGGCCATCCCCAGCTCAGACCGTGTGCTGTGCTTGAATGGGTGTAGAGGGGGAGAGTGACGCTGGCGTCACAGATCGTGAATGGTCAAAGCAGTGGGCGGGGGGCTTGATGCTGTGGACAGAGCAAGATGGGGGAGCTGAGGTCCCCAGAGACAGACACCAGACACCCCGACAGACACCAGAGCAGGAGCTCATGGCGTCATCAGGTGAGGGACCTACGGCAGGATGGGCAAGCCCAGCAGAGCAGGGGCAGTCCCTATGCCGCTGGGCAGGGTGGGAGGAGGAGAGGCCTGAGCTGGAGCCGTGTGGACCCCTGACCCCGGTCGGGGCGGCAGAGCCACAGGGCCTTGAAGAACCTGGCCAGGCCTGGCCTGGGAGAGATTAGGGACAAGCCTTGAAAATCATAAGTCGCGCACCTAAACGACGTGAAGGACACACATTTCAGGGGCAGGGGCGGCGGGCCTTGGGGAATGTCCCAGTCGGCAGCAAGCATCCCCCCATCCCATCCCTCCACCCACCCCATGATGCTTTTGTCTCCATCAAGATCCTGGGGGAATCCTGTGTGTCCCTCCACCCAGTCCATGATGCTTTTGTTCCCATCGAGTCCCTTGTCTCCTGCGCAGGTGCAGCAGCCCCTCCCTCTCCCCTCGCATTGCTGCTAAGCGAGCAGAACCCTCGGGCGGGCGGCACACAGGGAGGGTGACCAGGCCTGGAGGCTGCAGTGCCCGGAACCCAGGCCAGCTTCCCGGCAGGTGACTCTGTAGGGTGGGCTCTCCCAGGTGGGACAGTGGGTGGGTTGGTCCTGGGGCCTGGAGAGCCCCACAGCCCAGGGCACTACAGCGAATGACCAGGCTCAGGAAGACCCGGTCACAGGGGCTGAGCCGGGACTGAGCCTTCCTGGGAGTGACCGTGAGTCCCACCTGGTGACCCCCTGGAGGAGTTAGGCCACTGTCCCTTGTGACTTCTAGGTTAAGTAACTCACTCCTAGAAACGGTCATGGCTGGAGGAGACCAATGTCAGCTCAAAACCGTGTGTCCTCCCAGGAGAACAACAGGAAAAGAGAATCAGGTGACCAAGGAGAGTTTATTGGGGAGTAGGAGGAGGTGCTGAGAGGTTCAAGTCGAGGCCAAGTGACCCAGAGCAGAGAAGCTGGGAGGGAGGACAGGGGACCCAGCAGGCAGGTGGGCACCTGCTGGAAGGCAAGAGCTGGGGAGCAGTGAGGATGGAGGCTCCTGGGAGTAAGGAGGGAGAGGTCACCTCAGCACAGGGGAGACATGGAGACCCCATCCCAGGTAGGGGCAGCCACTTAACCCAGGACAGGACCGGAGCCGGCTGGCCCTGGGGGACGTGCCCATCAGCAGCTGGACTCCTGGCCTGAGCAGAGGCCTCAGCAGGCCAGGCGGGAGCACGCGGGGCGGCAGAGGAAGGACAGGCAGGAGGCCGGGTGGCAGCAGCTGGGCTGGCAGGAGGAGGCAGGGACACAACAGGAGGGGACAGGCACACAGCAGGCAGGCCGGCACACAGGGCGGCAGAGGAGGGACACGGAGGAGGAGGGTCTGCAGCAGGAGGTGGTGCAGCAAGCCGGCTGGCAGCTAGACTTCTGGCAGCACAGAGAGGAAGCCCCAGAGCAGACAGGCACACAGCAGATGGGCTTGCAGCAGATGGGCACACAGCAGGCCTGTTGGCATGGGGAGAAGGTGCAGCAAGCTGACTGGCAGCTAGACTGCTGGCAGCATGGGGAGGAAGCTCCAGAGCAGATGGACACGCAGCACACGGGCTTGCAGCAGTTGGACTTGCAGCACACAGGCACACAGCAGGCCTGTTGGCAGGGGGAGGAGGTGCAGCAAGCCGGCTGGCAGCTAGACTGCTGGCAGCATGAAGGTGTGCAGGAGTCGGTGCAGCCTGATTGGCAGGGGCTGGGCTCACAGCTCACTGGGGCACAGACCAGGGCCAGGCAGGGGGCTGGGGCACAGCAGCTAGGGGTACAGCAGCTGGAGGCACAGGAGCGGGGCTCGCAGCAGCTTTCCTGGCAATTGTCCACCTGCCAGGAGGAGCCAGTGCAGGTGCTGGGGGAGGAGACTCGGCTGACATGGCCCACGTCACTGGAGCAGACAGACATGGTGGATGCAGCAATCACATACGTCCTGGTGCAGCAGGCGTCAGCCATGGTGGGTGCTGGACTGGGTGGTGTGAGTGCTGGTGTGAGGTGTGTGGGTTTGTGTGCCCTGGCTGCTGAGGTTTTATACCCTCCCTGGGTATTTTCCTCACAGGAGTCTCACAAGCCTTCCCTTTCCTTGTTGTGGCTGAGACTTTGCCTCCAGGCAACCCTAATTAGTTTACTTGCTGTGGGATGTTACTGTGGTCCCAGGACTGCTGCATGTGGTTGGGTGATGCTGACCACTTGCAGGTGTCTGTGCCCTGCAACCACACACAGTGATGCTGCGTGTCTGCTGGTGGAGCTGGGAGTTGAACAGATCGTGAGTTGGCAAGTCTGGAAAACCCAGCCCCACTTTCCTCCTGTCTTTGCCTGTATGTCTTTGCTATTGGGGTATTTGGTACCAGGGGTGGGGTGTTTTTTTACCAGCAGATGTTCTCCACCTGTCCCAGAGTTCTGCTCCATTGAACAATGGGTGTCTCGGCTAGGAATGCCCCCTGGCTCCCCACCCTGCCACCCCTACCTGTTCCATCTGCAAACTATGGTGCGATGCCCCTGTATTAGTCCATTTTCACACTGCTGATAGAGACATACCCAAGACTGAGAGGAAAAAGGGCTTTAATTGGACTTACAGTTCCACATGGCTGGGGAGGCCGCAGAATCTTGGTGGGAGCTGACAGGCACTTCTTACATGGTGACAGCAAGAGAAAATGAGGAAGAAGCAAAAGCAGAAGCCCCTGATAAACCCATCAGATCTTGTGAGACTTATTCACTACCACTAGAATAGCACAGGAAAAGACCGGCCCCCATGATTCAATTATCTCCCCCTGGGTTCCTCCCACAACATGTAGGAATGCTGGGAGATGAAATTCAAGTCGAGATTTGGGTAAGGACACAGCCAAACCATATCATTCTGTCCCTGGCCCTTCCAAATCTTATGTCTTCACATTTCAAAACCAGTCATGCCTTCCCAACAGTCCCCCAAAGTCTTAACTCATTTCAGCATTAACCCAAAAGTCCACAGTCCAAAGTTTCATCTGAGACAAGACAAGTCTCTTCCACCTATGAGCCTGTAAAATCAAAAACAAGCTAGTTTCTTCCTAGATAAAATAGGGGTACAGGTATTGGGTAAATACAGCCATTCCAAATGGCAGAAATTGGCCAAAACAAAGGGATTTTACAGGGCCCATGCAAGTCCAAAATCCAGCAGGGGAGTCAAATTTTAAAGCTCCAAAATGATCTCGTTTGACTCCAGGTCTCACATCCAGGTCATAATGATGCAAGAGGTGGGTTCCCATGGTCTCGGACAGCTCCACCCCTGTGGCTTTGCAGGGTACAGCCTCCCTCCTGGCTGCTTTCATGGGCTGGTGTTGAGTGTCAGCAGCTTTTCCAGGCACATGGTGCAAGGTGTCAATAGATCTACCATTCTGGGGTCTGGAGGATGGTGGCCCTCTTATCACAGCTCCACTAGGCAGTGCCCCAGTAGGGACTCTGTGTGGGGGCCCTGGCCCTACATTTCCCTTCTGCACTGCCGTAGCAGAGGTTCTCCATGAGGGCCCCACCCCTGCAGCAAACTTCTGCCTGGGCATCCATGCGTTTCCATATATCTTCTGAAATCTAGGCGGAGGTTCCCAAACTTCAATTCTTGACTTCTGTGCACCTGCAGGCTCAACGCAACATGGAAGCTGCCAAGGCTTGGGGCTTCCACCCTCTGAAGCCACAGTCTGAGCTGTACATTGGCTCCTTTCACCCAGGCTGCATACAGCATGGGGACCCTGGACCCACGAAACCACTTTTTCCTCCCAGGCCTCCAGGCCTCTGATGGGAGGGGCTGCCATGAAGGTCTCTGACATGGCCTGGAGATATTTTCCCCATGGTCTTGGGGATTAACAATAGGCTCCTTGCTACTTATGCAAATTTCTGCATCCGGCTTGAATTTCTCCCTAGAAAATGGGTTTTTCTTTTCTATTGCATAGTCAGGCTACAAATTTTTCAAACTTTTATGCTCTGCTTTCATTATAAAACTGAATGCCTTTAACACCCCCCTCTCTCTGGCATGCATCCCTCCCAAGGCCCATCCCAGATGCTCTTCTTAGTTCTCCTGTTTGTCTCAGAATTATTAAACAATATACATGCTCTGTTATTTCTTGCATTTTCAATTTCAGGTATGATCTGATTTCCTATTGTGGAGGAAAGTACTTTCTCTAGTTTATCACCAGGCCCGTGAAAAGTTCCCCCTTCCCATCCTCAGAAGGCAAAGGAAGTAAAATATCAATATTTGGTTACATCAGTGTTCAGAATGTATATTATAATAAAGTAAATATTGTTCATAGCCAAGTCTGAATAGTGGAACCAGATTAAATTTCCTTATCTGTACATGTTTTGTTTTTGTTTATGTTTTTCCCCTCTTGGAGTTAACAATTGCTCCTCCCCAAACTCTGACTCATTCATCCCCATGCTCCACTCAAGAGGTTCAAATATAACAATCTATTAGCTTCATTTATTTTTTGGAAACATCTCTCTCAGAGCTGTCTTATGTGTGGACCAGTCTCTATTGGCTGCTCCCTCAGCCTGGTACACAGGTTTCCTGGGATCTCCCTTCACTCTTGTCTTTGGATTTTCATTCATCTCTCTCTGATGTTGGATCCATTACTTCCTGGATGCCTTGTCTTTTTCTTTCTGGATTTATATCCTTGTTTTGGTGGAGCACATCCTCCAGTAACTTTCTGAAAATGGGTACAAGGAAGATATATTTTTGAGCCATAGCATGACTAAAAATGCCTTTATTCTGCTCTTCCATTTGATTGATAGCTTAGCTGGATATAATTTCTGGGTGGAAATATTTCCCCTTAGACTATTTTGGGGAAGATGTGGAACATTACCAGAGTCCTAAATGATCCCTTATGCTATCTCTTTGTTAGTCCCTCCTCCCTAAGTATTAGTTGCTGTTCTACCTTCTCTCCTCATTGGTTAGCTTTGCGTGTTCTATGGAACTCTTTTGTTTTATGGTTCAATTTGTTCAGCACAATGTCTGTGAGAAGCACCATGTTGCTGCATGCATCAGTACTTCACTCTTTTTTTGCTGCCCCATTGCATTAAATTCTACAACGTGTTATTTGTCCATTCTCTTTCACAGTGTTAGAGATTTAGATTGTTTCCAGATTTGGGCTGCTGTTAATAGTGCTCCTAGAAAAATTCTTGTAAACTTTTTCACTGATATTTTTACTAATTTCTCTTCATTGTGCTCCCAAAAGTGGAATTGCTTGGTCATAGATAGGCATATGTTGGCTTAGCATATACCAACAACTTTCTAAAGAAATTTACATCCTCACTAGTTGATTTTATAATTCCATTTATTCTGTATCTTTACAAAATGAGGTTGATCAGTCTTTTAAAATTTGTTTATTTTGGAAAGTGTTTAGGAATATTGCACTGTTGCACTAATGTGCATATCCCGGATGAGTAAAGCCACTCATTGAACCTTGGATATCTTTTCTTGTGAGGTGCCTGTTCAAGACATTTGCTTGCTTTCTAAAATATGGCTACTTGTGTTTCTTATTGATTTGCAGAAATTTATTATGTATTCTGAATATGAGTTGTATACATGCAGTGTGTCAGTGAACGTTCAATAACTGGCTTTTGTTTTTGTAACGAAAACAAAAACAAAAGTCCCAATTGGTTGCATTTGCCAACGTCCACGTGTGAATGCTCCCAACCCAGCTAAATCCAAGCTACCAAGACAATGTCACTTAACACAGAGATGGGAAGAGAGGGGTGCATGTCAGCTCTCATGAGCCAGGGCATGCTGGCTTTAGTGTACCACTGAGTATGGGAATTGCAAATAACCCATCCAAGTCTGGGGTTTAAAAATGAAGTTTTTAAAAAGTCAGCTTTATTGAAGTATGATTACATGCTGTAAAAGGTACCTATTTAAAGTTACCTTTTCATGAGTTTTGAGAAAATATACACCCATGTAACCACTACCACAAGCAAGATCTGGATTTTCCATCATCTCCGAGTTCCCAGGTGTACTTTTCATGATCAATCCCCACCCCTCCTGACTCTGCCCCAGGAAACGACTGATCTCCTCTGTGTCTCAAATAGGTTTGTCTTTCCTGGAATTTCATGTAAATCAAATTCTATAGTACAATTGACCCATGTGTCGATGGACACATGACTTGTGTGGCAAAAGCATCTTTAAACATTTGTGAGCAAGTCTTTGTGATATGATTTCACTTCTCTTGGGTAAACACACAGGAGGTGGAGTGTGTGGGGCATGTGAAGGGGGTGTGTGTGTCATGTTTATGACACTGCCAAACTGTTTTGCAGAGGGATTTTTCCATTTCACATTCCCACCCCAGCAAATGTTGGAGAGTTCCATTTCCTGCACACATTTGCTGACACTCGGTATTGGTCATCTATTTCAATCTGAGTCATGTTTATGGATGTGTGGTATTAATAGTATCATTTGATGAAGAGACGCTCTTAATTGTAGTAAAATCCGATTTACTAATTTACTCTCTTATGTGTGGCATTTTTACCCCGTTCCCGAAGTCTTTGCCTACCACAACGTCGTGAAGACATTCCCCTATATGTGCTTCTAGAGCTTCATTATTTTTATTTCATTCATTGTTCATTTACTAATTTTTAAACTGACAAATAATAATTGTGTGTATTTACTAGGTATAATGTGATGTTTTGATCTATAATGTGACGTTTTGACCTGTGCATGCATTGTAGAAAGATTAAATCAAGCCCTGTAATCCCAGCACTTTGGGAGGCCAAGGCAGGTGGATGATGAGGTCAGGAGATCAAGACCATCCTGGCCAACATGGTGAAACCCTGTCTTTACTAAAAATACAAAAATTAGTTGGGTGTAGTGGCGCGCACCTGTAGTCCCAGCTACTTGGGAGGCTGAGGCACAAGAATTGCTTGAACCCGGGAGGCGGAGGTTGCAGTGAGCTATTGTGCCACTGCACTCCAGTCTGGCAACAGAGCAAGACTGTGTCTAAAAAACAAAACAAAACAAAAAAGATGAAATCAAGTTACTTAACATAACCATCATCTCACCAACTTACCATTTTTCTGGTAAATTAAAAGTATATTCTTTTACCAGTTTTGAAGTATGCAACACATTATTTTTATGTGTCACCATGCAATGCAGTAGGTCACTAAAGCTTTTTCCTCCAGTGTGATGGAAAGGTTGTTTCCTTTGATCAACATCTCCCTTCCCCATTCCTCTCCTCTGGCAGCCCCCGGCCTCTGGTAACCACCTTTCTGCTCTCTGTTTCTAAGTTTGACAGTTTTAGATTCTAGACACAAATCATGCCATTTGTCTTTCTGTGCCTGGCTTATTTCGCTTAGCATAATGTCCTCCAGGTCCATTCAAGTTGTCACAAATGACAGAATTTTTCTCCTTTTCATGGCCGAATAGTATTCCATTGTGTATATATGCCACACTTTCTTTATCCATTCATCAATTGATGAACTGAGATCGATTCCATACCTAGGCTATTGTGAATAAGACTGAAATGAACATAGGAGTGCAGACCTCTCCCCAAAAGAATGATTTCAGTTATTTTAGATATAAAACCAGAAGTGGGATTTGTGGATCATAGGCAAGTTCTATTTTTAGTTTTTTGAGGAACCGCTATACTGTTTCCCGTAGTGGTTGTACTAATTTAGATTCCCACCAACAATGTACAAGACTCCCTCTTTTCTACATCCTCCCTAACACTTGTTCGCTTTCATCTTTTTGATAAGAACCATTCTGACAAGTGTGAGGTGATGTCTCATTGCATCTTCAATGTGCATTTTCCTGATGACTAGTGATGTTGAGCATTTAAAAATATACCTGCTGTCCATTTAAATGGCTTCTTTTGAGAAATGTCTGTTTAGGTCTTTTGCCCATTTTTATTTATTTATGTAGTTTTTTTTTTTTTTTTTTTTGAGCCAGGGTCTTGCTCTGTTGCCAGGCTGTTTGTCCATTTTTAGATTGGGTTATTTATTTTCTTGCTACTGAGTTGTTTGAGTTCCTTATTGTGAGTAGTAGTCCCTCATCAAATATATGGTTTGCAGATATTTTTTCCCAATCCATGGGTTGTTTCTTCATCCTGTTGATTGTCTCCTTGGCTGTACAGCTTTTTCGTTTGATGCAATCTCATTTGTCTATGTTTTATTTTGTTAGGTGTGCTTTTGGGGTCCTATTCAAGGAATAATTGCCTGGACCAATGTAATGGAGATTTTCCACTATGCTTTCTTCTAGCAGTATCACATTTCAGGTCTTATGCCGAGGTCTTCCATGCATTTTGAGTTGATTTTTGCATATGATGTAAGATGAGGGTTCAATTTTAGTTTTCTGCACATGGATATTGAGTTTTCCCAACACTGATTATTGAAGAGTCTGTCCTTTTCCCATCATTTGTTCTTGGCACCTTTGTCAGAAATAAATTGACAACAAACACTTGGGTTTGTTTCTGGGATTTCTATCCCATTCCATTGGTTGATATGTTTATTTTTATGTCAGTCCCATGGTGTTTGGATTACAATAGCTTTAAAGTATTTTGAAATTAGGGAGTGTGATGCCTCCAGCTTTGTTCTTCCTACTCAAAACTGTGTTGGCTATTCAGAGTCTTTTATGGTTTCATATGAATTTTGGGATTGTTCTTTTCTATGTATTTGTAAAAATGATATTGAAATTGATAGAGATTGCATTGAATCTGTAGATAGCTTTAGGTAGTATGGACATTTTAACAATATTAATTCTTGTAATCCGTGAATATGGGACATTGTTCCATTTATTTGTGTCTTCAACTTCTTTCATCAATGTTTTGTAGTTTTCAGTGTACAGATCTTTCACCTCCTTGGTTAAATATCTTTCTAAACTCTTCTACATGCTATTGTAAATGGTATTGTTTTCTTAATCTCTTTTTTGGATCATTGTTCATTGTTAGTATATAGAAATGCTATTAATTTTTGTATGTTGATTTTTTAACTTGCAACTTTATTAAATTTGTTTATCAGTCCTAATAGTTTGAAGACTAACAGGTAGAGTCTTTACAAGAAAAGAAAACTACAGGCCAACGTCCTTGACGAATATAGATGCAAAAATCCTCAAAAAAAGACTAGCAAACTGAATTCAACAGCACATTAAAAAGATCCTTCACTATGATCCAGTGGGATTTATCCCAGGGATGCAAGAATGGTTCAACATATATAAATCAATAAATGTGATACATCACACTAACATTAGAGACAAAAAACACATGATCACCCCAATAGATGCAAAAGACCATTTGAACAAATTCAGCATTCATTCATGATTAAAACTCTCAAGAAAATAGACATAGAAGAGACGCACCTCATCACGATAAAGGCCATATGCAACAAGCCCACAGCTGATGCCATACTCAGTGGTGAAAAGCTGAAAGCTCTTTCTCTAAGATCAAAAACAAGGCAAGGATGCCCACTCTTGTCACTTCTATTTAACGTGGTGCTGGAAGTTCTAGCCAGAGCAATTAGGCAAGAAAAAGAAATAAAAGGTACTGAATAGAAAAGAAAGAAGTGAGACTGTCTCTGCTGATGATGTGATCTTATATAGAGATCTCATTATCTTATCTTTGACATGTAAGTCTAGGGTTCACCCCTAGTTAATTTTTGTGCATGGTGTCTCGATGGTAGGTGAGATTGGCTATCTTATCCTGTGATTTTTGGCCATTGGACATCTTATCCTATAATTGCGTATTTCCATCTCTTTTATTCGTTTCTTTTTATGTTTTCTTTATAAATTCTGAATTTGAATCTTTTGTTACATACTGTGGGTGAAGGTCATCAATGCTGGTTCAGAAACCAACAGAAGTCAACATGTCAATGGCTTAAGCCCACAAGGCCTTCCCCACTCCTCACATTGCCATCCAAGCATGCTGCGCCCCTACCTTGTGGACCCACTCTCTGGCACGTGAGCCTCCAAGATAGCCCGGCAAGGAAGAGAGGCAGCAGGGCTCCCACAACCTGTGGCGTGGAAGTGGCAGACATCTCTCCATGCACGTTTAACCAATAGAAACTCATCATGTGGCCCTAACTAACTGCAGGTGGCTGGAACCTGCCAGCCCACGTGCCCAGGAGGGAGACAGTGAGCCCGCAGTCTCCCCGTGATGCCCCACAGGTGGCTTCTCTGGGATGGGATTGGTGGAAACTTTGATTGTGTGCTTATGCTTTTGTGTGCATTTTGCTGCATTCAAGATTGTCAGTATTTTCTCTAATGATTTGTGCCTTTTGCATTTTTTGTGAGATATTGGTTCTTTCACCAGGGATGGCGGTAGGCATTGTTGACCAGGGCAAATGGTGAATGTCCAGGTGACAAAGGGCAGTTTCAGCCACCGTCAGCTTCTGTGGTGCGGCTGAGAATGGCCCCTTGGAGGAGGCTGCTTCTCTCTGCTCAGCCACCCTGGCACGCCCTTCCTCTTGCAGGAGGTTCTGAAGTTCCACCTGTTGCCCTTGGAAGGGAACTTGATGTTTCTGCCCCACAGCACACCTCCCCTGAAGTTCACACCCGGGGCGTGGGGGGCGTGTTTCCCCAGAGGCTCACATGCCTGGATGCTTGCTGGGGCCATGCCTAGGGGAGGAGCCGAGTCTGGGATCCGCAGAGGAGGACGTGCTTCTCTGAGCAAGGCCCCTCCATCTTGCCGTCTGTGGGATTCAGGTGCCTGTAGTTGGGGGACTCACCACAGGGTCCCCTTGGTGCCTCCTGGAGAACCAGAGGGGAGCCAGTGACGCAAAGCCTGGGATGCTGACTTAGGGTGTAGCCCTGGTGCCAGAGAGAAGCCTGGCTCATTTCTTCTGCACAGGGGCCGGGGTAGGGGCAGAGGAGTGCCAGGTGGGACATGTGGGGGCTTATTCCTTGCCAGCTGGTGCTCCAGCCCCACGCCAGAGTTTCAGGCCACAGCCTCTGTGGCCACCACAGGGGAGGGACAGCTCGTTGCAGGCGCAGGTCGGCTCTGCTCCTCATGAAACCTACGATGGCCTGGCCTCACCCAGCCTCCTTCTCTGTCTCCACCCCCTCTGGAGCAGGAGTCAAAGGAAGCACTACCAGAAATGCACCCAGCACTGTCCTAGGACAGCATTGTCATTGCTTGGGAAGGGCAGCTTGGGGTCTGTGTCAGGGTCCCCAAGACGGCGATTCTCCAGGAGGACACAGGCCACACAGGTTGTGGTATTCACAGCTGTGATTTCCCACAGGGAGGACACTGAGCAAAATCAACCAAGGGAAAGGTTCCTGGGGCCGAGTCCAGGGGCACCAGGCTCAGCTTTGGAGGCCTCTCCTGGGGTGGGGGTCACGCAGGACGCGCCTCACTCCTCTGCAAGCAGCTGGGACGCTGCGTGTGCGATGTTGGGGATGCCCTGCCCGGTGATGTACCCGGGGACTGGTCACGTGAGCAGCTTCTGCCTGGGCTACGCCAGAATTCCAGACTCCCAGCAGGGATGTGGGTGTTCGGCCTAAACCACATGGTACAAACAGCTCAGGCCCAGTGAGGCGGGGCCGGGGGGAGCCCCTCGGAAATCCCAGTTCCCAGACGCCAGCCAAGGGCCAGCCCGGCCAGCGGGCCTCAGGATGGCCGTCCCCGCCCACCGTGTGGACCCATTCTGCACACGGCCATGGGGTTTCCTTTCTGGAGCCAGGGGCTGGACACAACCCAGTTTCTGGGGAGGCCCCAAAGCAGCCCCACCCAGGGCAGGCGCTGCTGTTGGATCCCTCACCTCTCCCATCCCTCAGTCCTGCCTACCCCTCGGACATCCGTGTGGTGAGGCTGGTGCAGGGCTGCCAGGACGCCTGGGAAGGACAGGGACCTCGTGGCGTGGGAGCAGCCCAGGACCACCCGCGGGTGGGGGGCATCAGGCAGGGGTCTTTGGTTGTGAACAACAAGAATGAATTCCAGTTGTACTTTTTAGGAAAGGAGTTTATTAGAAGGGTCTGACCTGCTCCCGTGGTCAGGGAAGACAGAGAAAGAGGCCCAGGCCCACAGCAGGGGAGGAGCAGGGCTCGCCACTGAGCTGGGACAGTGACGAGAAACCCAGTTGGTACCTGTCTACCCTCATTTCTCCCCACACCGGGCTATGGCCTGGGAGCACCCGCTGGCCTTGCTGGGGTCACTGCCCACCTGTTGCTGGGGAAGCAGGGCTGGGTAATTGGGGGAAAGTCAAGACTTGGAGAAACAGCTGAGCTGCTTCTAGGAGGAGAAGCGCACACTGGATGGCCAGCTGACCACTGACGTCCACTGCAGGGCTTAGGAGCGGGATGTGGAGAGCCGTCAAGGGTAAAGAATCCAGGGGTGCAGGTGGCAGTGAGCACTCAGGCTTTGGATGATCTTAAGGAGATCACTCAGCAGCTGGACTTCTGGGTTGAGGTGGGGCCACAGCAGGCCGGGCGGGAGCATGCGGGGCGGCAAAGGAGAGACACACAGGAGGCTGGGCGGCAGCAGCTGGCCTGGCAGGAGGAGGTGGGGGCGCAGCAGGAGGGGACGGGCACGCAGCAGGCGGGCCTGCACACGGGGCGGCAGAGGAGGGACACGGAGGAGGAGGGTCTGCAGCAGGAGGTGGTGCAGCAAGCCGGCTGGCAGCTAGACTGCTGGCAGCATGAAGTGGAAGCCCCAGAGCAGACGGGCACACAGCACACAGGCTTACAGCAGACGGGCACGCAGCAGCCCTGCTGGCTTTGGGAGGAGGTGCAGCAAGCTGGCTGGCAGCATGAACCGGAATCATCAGAGCAGGTGGGCACACAGCAGACGGGCTTGCAGCAGACAGGCACACAGCAGGCCTGCTGGCAAGGGGAGGAGGTGCAGCAAGCCGGCTTGCAGCTAGACTGCTGGCAGCACGAGGGCGTGCAGGAGCTGATGCAGCCTGATTGGCAGGGGCTGGGCTCACAGACCGCCTGGCAGCAGGGACTGGACACACAGCTCACACAGCTAGACTGCTGGCAGCACGAAGAGGAAATCCCAGAGCAGACAGGCTTGCAGCAGATGGGCACACAGCAGGCCTGCTGGCAGGGGGAGGAGGTGCAGCAAGCTGACTGGCAGCTAGACTGCTGGCAGCATGAAGAATCCCCACTGCAGACAGGCACACAGTACACAGGCTTGCAGCAGACAGTCTTGCAGCAGACGGGCACGCAGCAGGCCTGCTGGCAGGGGGAGGAGGCACAGCAAGCCAGCTGGCAGCTAGACTGCTGGCAGCACGAGGGCGTGCAGGAGCTGGTGCAGCCTGATTGGCAGGGGCTGGGCTCACAGGTCACTCGGCAGCAGGGGCTGGACACATAGCTCACTGGGGTGCAGACCAGGCTCAGGCAGGGGGCCGGGGCGCAGCAGGGGGGCTCGCAGCAGCTCTCTGGGCAGTCGTCCACCTGCCAGGAGTCGGAGCAAGAGTCACAGGAACCAGGAAGGCAGACGCGGCTGCCGTAGCTCAGGTCGCTGGAGCAGACAGACATAGTGGACGCAGCCATGCTGGGGATTGAACTGGAGGAGATGGGAGTGAGTGGGTGAGTGAGTGAATGAGTGAGTGAGTCCGTGTGTTAGGTGCTCAGGGATGTTGGCTTTTATATGTCTCCCTGGTCTGTTGTCCCAGCTGGAGTGTCAACAACTCCTGCCCCTTCCTTGTTTGTGTTTAAAACCTAGAGAACGCTTATTAGTGCGAGTTTCATGTTTAGTCCTATGAGATGCCGTTCAGTTTGTAAAGTCCTGAGTCTATATTTGGTTCCGTTGACGCACCCTCACCTACCTTTGGCTCCAGAGCATAATATTGAAGTAGACAGGGTGTAATGTCTGCAAATAGAGTGTCCCAGGGGCCTGTGCTGGCTGCAGGAGAGATCCATCCATCCTAATCCCAGCGCCTGTGGGCCATCGCCAGGGGACTCTGCTTGTCTGGGTGGCTGTGGCTTCTGGAATGCCAGGCTAGAGAAGCCCCTGTCAATGATGGCATGAGGGTGGAACATTCCTAGAAGTGACTCCCCACACTCTCTCTGGTGCATAAAGTCCCCCCAAGGGCTTTAGAGCAAGTGGCAAACGGGAAAGGGTGGACAGTGGTGTGAGCCATTTCCCGTCAGGTTCACAGTAGTTCCTGGGGGGCCGTGCACCCCCTCTTCCATCTGGGCACTTAGGGAGGCCCCAGATCCCTGTTTGGGGCCCCCATTTCCATTTGGTTTTATCCCAAGCACTGCAAACCTGTAAGTCTAACCCAGAACACCTCCTCCGCAAAAAGCACAGCCACTCTCAACAGCACTGCCGTGTGAAAAGCAGCAAGCACTGCTTTCGCTTGCAGTGTGTTTTCTTGATTGCCAGCTAAGTCCTTGGTCACCCCAGCTAGACATCTGATCTAAGTCTCCATTTCTTCTGCAAATAATATCCAATTGGCCACCACATCTTTTTGGTTGTTTCTGCTAAATGTTTCCAATTGTATCCGATACTTTTACTTCTCAAGCATTCATTTATTCATGATGCAGTGAGTCCTCCCACATGCTGGAAATTGCACCAGGTGCTGAGAATGTGAAAGTGAAGGGGTAGTAACCCTGACTGTGGACCCCACCAGGGAGGGAGGTGGGCTGCTTGGTGCCTGGTGATGTCAGTGATGACCAGCCATAGCCCAGCATGCATGCGGCCCTGAGAAGTGGCCCCTACCCAGGGGAGAGGGCTCCAGGGGCCCTTCTGGTGGGGTTTGATGCCCAGGCAAGTCTCAGAGGCTCAGGGTGTCCTGTGTCTCTATCTGTGTTTCCCAGTCCAGGCCTCTTAACTCCTAGGGGATTTAGGAAAAGTACAAAAGGCCTCAGAGGGCTAGAAATTCAGTTACACGGTGGGATGAATTGTCTTTCTGTATATTTTGAACTATAAAAATAATATAAATTTGAGCATGGCCTGGTCCCTCCAGAGGTACAGGATCTGGTCCTATGGGATGGAAGGAGAGAGAGAGAGAGAGAGAGAGAGAGAGAGAGAGAGAAAATGGGGGCCTCTGCTTCCATATGGGACAAAGTAGCTATGTCAGACATATACTCCTGCTGAGAACAACTTGAAAAGCTGAACAAAATGTTTTAAAAATGATTCCTTTAAAGCTCTCCTAAAAGAGCTGTTGAAGAAACTAAAGGTAATAGAATGACATCTTTAAAGAGCTGAAAGAAAATCACTGCAAACCTAGAATTCTAGACCAGGAAGAACATTGTTCAAAGGTGAAATATGAAACAAAACAATTCTGGATAACAACTGAGCAAACTGAACACGAGCAGACCTACTCTACAGTAACTATGAAAGGGGATTTTTTTAGGCAGGATGACGGAAGGATAAAAATGCAGGAAGGAACCAGGAGGATCTGAAAGGGTAATATTATTATATTTATAATCTCTTGTGGGGTCTAAACTAGAAGTAGAAAAGTAATGCATGATGACATTAACAATAAAAGGTGAGAAGGATAAATGGAGTGAAAGTTTTCTAAGGTTTCAGCATTGTTTTGGAAGCGGCGGAAGTGCTGACATATGTTACACTTGAATAATCTAAGAATGTGTGCTATAATCTCTAAAGTGACCACGGAAGAGATAGTAAAAACTATGTATAATCAATGTATAATCAATAATGTTAGAAATAAGGCTCAGAGTCGTAAGGAAAAACGAGCACTGAGACAAAGGATTTCTCAGCAAAGCAAATGTATGTCTGTGCAGGAGGGTGTCTCCCATATGGCTGGTTGCCACGAGAGCACACAGAACAAAGGAGAGTAGAAGTTTTTATTCCTAACGTGATCCTGCCCCTGTGTCCTTTCCCCATTGGCTGGGATTGCGCCGCACAATTTAAACTAGACCCGATTGGCTAAACATTTAAACTTTCTTAGATAAAATGGATGCATAATGGGAGAGACGGGAGAGGAGGAAGGGGTCATCTACGGGAAACTAGAGAGCCAGTCTTTTCCTAAATACAGAACGGAATGCGAGCTGGTGCTGATAATGCTAGTGATGTTGCGGCATGCCTGGGCATGTAGTAAAGTCAGAAAGAAGAAAAGGAGAAGAAAGAGAGGGGGCGGGGGTACTAGGAATTAAAGAACAAAAGGTTGAGCAGCCTGTTTGAAGAGAAGCCTTGCCTTATCTCACGAATAATGAATAGAACAGAAGAGGGAAAATAAATAATAAAAAATACTTGATTAATCCAAAATAGACAGGAAGTGATTTTTAAAAGAAACGTTAAAAAATTGGGACAAATAGAAATTGTACAGTCAGATGGCAGATAGATATAAACTAAATCATCAGTCAATAAAGTATCAGATATTCCAATTAAAATATATTGTTGGTCTGAATAAAAAGTAGAAAACCTAACTACATGCTGCTTACAAGATACAGAGCCTGAATACAAGAGCATAGAGGCCATGTGCTGTGGCTCGCACCTGTAATCCCAGCACTGTGGGAGGCTGGGGCAGGCAGATCACCTGAGGTCAGGAGTTTGAGACCAGCCTGGCCAACGTGGTAAAGCCCTGTCTCTACTAAAAATACAAAATTAGCCGGGCATGGTGGTGGGCACCTGTAATCTCAGCTACTTGGGAGGCTGAGGCAGGAGAATCGCTTGAACCCAGGAGGTGGAAGTTGCAGTGAGCCGAGATCGCACCACTGCCCTCCAGCCTGGGCGACAAGAGTGAGACTCCATCAAAAAAAAAAAAAAGAAAAGAAAGAAAGAAAAAGAAAAAGAGCACAGAAAGCTTGAAAGTAACAAGATGGAAGAAAATACACCACACAAACACTAACTAAAATGCTAGTGTGACTTATGAATATCAGAAAAAGTAGATTTTAGAGCAATAGAGATGAAGAAAGAAATGTATAAAGCTAAAAGAGTCAACCTACCAGGAAGATGTAACAATTCTAAATCTGCATGTATCTAATTACATAGCTTAAAATATAAAATTAAAAAATTAAAATAAAAAACTGTTTTTTAATTTTTTTAACTGGCAGAGCTAAAAGTAGAAATAGAGAAAAGGGAAAATCATAGTGGGGGATGTTAATACACCTGTCAATAATGATAGGAAGGGAAAGAAAAATCATCTCAGAGTGGAAAGGGCTATTCTAAGTTTTGAGTAAAACACCGAAGCCATTTAAAAAACCGATAAAACTAATTATGTAAAAATTTTTAAATTGCAGGAGAGAAAACATTATAAACCAAGTCAAAAGACAACAATATGGGAAACACATTTCCTATCTGTATATCAGAGAAAGGGCTAATTTGCTTAATATCCAAAGAGCTCCCACGAGTTATTAAGATCAATAACAGAAACATAACAGAAAGTGAGCAAAGGATACAGAGACAATTGAAAGAAATATACATGGTTCTTAAATGAGAAAACGTGCTCAGCCCCATTTAAAATGAGATAAAACAAATTTAATGGCCATATGATATCATTTTTTATATTGGAAAAAATGAAAACCATTGATGTTCCCAACATGGGTTGGCGAGGGTGTGGGCAGACTACCCAGATGACTTGCTGCTGGGCTGAGGTTGCTCCACGGCTTTGGCAGGCAGTTTGCTGCTACACATCACAATTCAAAACCTCATGCCTTTAAGCCTGAATCACTAAGCAAGCATCCTGTAGATACTCCTGGGTGGATACAAGGTATGTGCAAAGGTATCACAGCCATGACATTGTCCAGACAGCGGGAGACAGACTCTAGGGTGGCCCCATGTCCCTCACCTCCTAGTGGTCACTGGCTGTGTGCCCCACACTCCTTGAGTGTGGTTGGGACTGTGACACGTGTATAGACACAAGGAGCCACAGAGAGGGTGATGGGATGTGCATGATCCCATTACATAAGGTCATAATGCTCGTCTCGGGAGGACTCTGTCTCCCTGGCTAGCTGTGAAAAAGCCAGCACATTGCGAGCTGCCCGTTGAGGCCGCATGGAAAGAGATGATGGCAGCCTCCAGTTGACAGCTGGTGACAAACTGAGGCACTTAGTCCAAGAAGCTACAAGGAACTGAGTTCTGCCAACAATCACATGAGCTTGGAAGTGGATCCTTCTCCAATTGAACCTTCCCATGAGACACTCCAATACAGCCCTACAGAGACCCCAATTTAACTGTGCCTGGACTCCTGACCCACAGAAACCGAGATGATAAATGTGTGTTATTTGAAGCCACTAAGCTTGTGGTACTTTGTTCCACAGCAATAGAAAATGAACACACAGACCACATGGAATTCTATGCAGCTGTAAACAAGACAGAGATCATTATGTATTCACAGGAAAGGAGCTCCATGTTTACAGAAACATAGTGGGTAGAGTATGACATAATTTGCATTTTAAAAATTTATGTGTACAGAGGCATTATATGTATGTATGTGTATGTGCATATATGTTTACACATACACATAATAGAATGAGGTGATGTTTTGCTTTCCTGTCTCAGCTCGCATATGGTAAACAGGTGTCCTTGTTATGTTCTCCTCAGTGCCGCACGTTCCTCCACGATGCTCTGATCTTGTTGTTTAAAGTGCCCCAGTGCAGTGCTGCTGTGCTGCTGGGTGTCCGGAGCTCAGAAGGCTCCAGCACGTCTTACAGAGAAAACACATGTGTTCAACCAACTTCATTCAGGCTCTGTAGGGCTGTTGGCTGGGGCTCAGTGTTGATAAATCAACTATATAGATTCAGTAAGGTGTCTTCAGACAGAAGCATTCGTAAGACATGTCTATGCATTGATTAGGTGATGGGAATGTTGTGATCAGAGGCTCATGAGACCATAACCCTGTGCTTCCTGTAGGAGCAGTGGTTCAGTATTTGGTTATTCGGTGCTGGTGGAGACTGTATAGAACAGAGCCTCTGGGAATAATGAGAATGGGCTGTGTGTGTGCATATACGGAAGAGGCAGACAGACAGAGACAGAGAGAGATGGAGAGATACAGAGAGAAAGAGAATAAATGGGTGAAAGTAGCTGCTTCCTGAGAAGAGAATTGGGTGACTGCTTGTGTTCATTTAAAAAAATCACCATCTGGCCAGGTGCAATGGCTCAGGCCTGTAATCCTAGCATGTTTGGGAGGCCAAGGTAGGTGGATCACTTGAGGTCAAGAGTTTGAGACCAGCCTGGTCAACATGGTGAAACCCTGTCTCTACTAAAAATACAAAAATTAGCCAGGCATGGTGGCTTATGCCTGTAATCCCAGCTACTCGGGAGGCTGAGGCAGGAGAATTGCTTGAACCAGGAGGTGGAGGCTGCGGTGAGCTGAGATCGTACCACTGCACTCCAGCCTGGGCAACAGAGTGAGACTGCATCTCAAAAAAAAAAAAAAAAAATCACAGATCCGTAAGTTTGGAAAAAAAGAGGAGACTTTGTTTCTTCTAAAGGGGCACAGCCTGCAAGAAAGCCATCCTGCAGGCCGGGAAGCACAGCCTCTGGCCAAGACGAGAGCCAGGAGGAGGGGCTGGGGCAGGAGCTCCACGCTGACCAGGTTGGCTGAATACACATGTGCAATAGGTTATGGAGGAATAGTGAATATTCACGAAGGAGGAACTGAACAAACATGCATGTAACATACGACCTGTTTTCACTCTGCGGTTGTGAGAAACACACTGACCCGTCCAAATCCAAAGAATGGACTTAGAGGCATGAAGAACAGTGAAAGTGAGACTTTAATGTCGGTCTTGCAAGATCTGGTGTCTGATGGGCGGGCACACCCAGCACACTTTCAACAAGCAATTTATCCCCTAGTGTGCAGGTCCCTCGCCCAGTTCCTCGCAGCCTGAGTACTATGGGGTCACAGGCTTCCTGGACGTCACCTAAGTTTCATTATCCCCTTATAAGGTTACATCTTGTCCCCTTCCCCACTTTACATTTGATTTCTCAATGGCAAAAGTTTCTTTCCTTTTATGTGTTAGCCATCCGTCACTTTTTCTTCCTCCCCTCTGACTTCTGTGAGTCTTATCACTCTTCCCAGATGTCTGTACTGTGTGGCTTGTCACATCTGCAAGGGAGCTGCCTGGACTTGCCAGGGCCTGTTTTCTGAATACGGACCACTTGAAATGTACTTCTTACAGGGTGGAGTCTTATCATGTCAATGGGTCGCAATGAGGCCCTAAACCTCAGAAGTCTTCTCAGGACACAAAGGCACTCCAGTGCACAGCCTCTGTAAACCGGCTGGAGCCAGTCCATGGTTGGGGGTCCCTTATCAGGAGGAGGTTCCTGAAGTCAGTCTCCTGCCCAGTCAGAGCTGTGGTCATGGCTGTGGAACGTGGTCAGTTGGCATCTGCTGGTGGATGAGCTGCAGTCGTTTGAACCTTGCTCATCCTCATCGCGGGGCCAGTGCGTGTTTAGCCACTGTAGAAAAACAGCAGCTGTGGCGTGAGAGCAGAGTCCGTCCTCTCAGTGTAGGGCACGCGGCTTGTCCCTTGCCTGGCGCGGCCTGAGGTCCTGTTTGTAATTTGATATCTTATTGCCAGAGTCTGCTCTGTGGGTCTTACGGTCTCTATTTTAACTTTAGTGCTGGGTAGTGGTTGTGTCGAAACCCTAAAGGGAGGGGGTGTAACGAGGCGTGTCTGACCTCCCTTCCTGTCATGGCCAGGAACGCAGTTTTTCGGGGGTCCCCGTGGGCAAGATGGGATCCATTTAGTCAGTTGAGGGGCTTAGGATTTTATGTTTCGTTTACACTGGCAATGGGTTTGCAGTGAGATCAACTTCTCATGGACCCATTTTGTGTCTTCTGTGCGGGTTCTTTGGACAGATGTCCCTTAATTTTAAGGTGGTGACACTAAGAGGCCTGGCACAGGGCTTGGAAGACAGGGCTGGGAAATGGGCCCAGCAGGAGGCTGGGTGGGGGCTGACGGGCAGCCTCGGAGAAGCAGAGCACACAGAGGAGCCACCCCAGGCGGGGACGAGGGCTGCTGACCGCCCGCTGCTCAGCACGGTTACTCTGCAGGTTCAGAACCCAAAACCACAGCCCAGAAGGCTGTCATGCTGTCCAAGCAGGGAGGGGCCAAGCCCACCGTCCTTGCCCTGGAACACACAGGTCCTGCTGCCTCCAAAACACAAAGACGAGGTGGACACGAAACAGGGCCGGAGGTGAAGAGGCTGTGGGGATGAGAAGTCGTCCAGAGCTCAAAGCCAAGAGGTCTGGGCACAGTTACAGCTGCCCCCCACCCCCACCATGCCATGGCCCAGGGCAGGTCAATGAAGGCTCATGGGCCCCAGGTTGTCCCTCAGAAGATGGCCACAGTCCTGTGTCCGGTGATGGGGGAAGGACCACGCTGGATGAGGGGTTTTCACCACAAGGACACTTCCTGAGGCCGGCTTCCTGCAGAGGGACTCTGTGTCCCGGGGCTGCTGGGGCCAGGGGTGGACGATGCCGCGACCTGTGGCTCTCCCAGCTCCCCGAACCCAGCTGGGACCAGGCCCCGCCCAATTCCTGCCGCCAGGGATCCACATGGGATGGGACACAGCCCAGATGTGATGGGAGATTTATGAGCTGGCCCACATCACGGGCGAACAAACACCCCTAATCCCGGCAGACTCCAGCTCTCGGCAACACGGAAGGGGAAGCTGTGGGCCCGGGGACAACAAGGCCAGGTGGAATAAAAGCCCGAGAGCCTCAGCACCTCACAGGCTCACTCCCTCACCCTCCACCAGTTCAACCCCAGCATGGCCGCGTCCACCATGTCCGTCTGCTCCAGCGACCTGAGCTACGGCAGCCGCGTCTGCCTTCCTGGTTCCTGTGACTCTTGCTCCGACTCCTGGCAGGTGGACGACTGCCCAGAGAGCTGCTGTGAGCCCCCCTGCTGCGCCCCGGCCCCCTGCCTGAGCCTGGTCTGCACCCCAGTGAGCCGTGTGTCCAGCCCCTGCTGCCCAGTGACCTGTGAGCCCAGCCCCTGCCAATCAGGCTGCACCAGCTCCTGCACGCCCTCGTGCTGCCAGCAGTCTAGCTGCCAGCTGGCTTGCTGTGCCTCCTCCCCCTGCCAGCAGGCCTGCTGCGTGCCCGTCTGCTGCAAGACTGTCTGCTGCAAGCCTGTGTGCTGTGTGTCCGTCTGCTGTGGGGATTCTTCATGCTGCCAGCAGTCTAGCTGCCAGTCAGCTTGCTGCACCTCCTCCCCCTGCCAGCAGGCCTGCTGTGTGCCCGTCTGCTGCAAGCCTGTCTGCTCTGGGATTTCCTCTTCGTGCTGCCAGCAGTCTAGCTGTGTGAGCTGTGTGTCCAGCCCCTGCTGCCAGGCGGTCTGTGAGCCCAGCCCCTGCCAATCAGGCTGCACCAGCTCCTGCACACCCTCATGCTGCCAGCAGTCTAGCTGCCAGCCAACTTGCTGCACCTCCTCCCCCTGCCAGCAGGCCTGCTGCGTGCCCGTCTGCTGCGTGCCTGTGTGCTGTGTGCCCACCTGCTCTGAGGATTCCTCTTCATGCTGCCAGCAGTCTAGCTGCCAGCCAGCTTGCTGCACCTCCTCCCCCTGCCAGCACGCCTGCTGTGTGCCCGTCTGCTCTGGGGCTTCCACATCATGCTGCCAGCAGTCTAGCTGCCAGCCGGCTTGCTGCACCGCCTCCTGCTGCAGATCCTCCTCCTCCGTGTCCCTCCTCTGCCACCCTGTGTGCAAGTCCACCTGCTGCGTGCCCGTCCCCTCCTGTGGTGCCTCTGCCTCCTCCTGCCAGCCCAGCTGCTGCCGCACGGCCTCCTGTGTTTCCCTCCTCTGCCGCCCCATGTGCTCCCGCCCTGCCTGCTACAGCCTCTGCTCTGGCCAGAAGTCCAGCTGCTGACAGCCCTGGATGTGATCCGGAGTCCCTTCCCACCAGGGGCTGACCTCCCAGCTGCCCCAGCAAGCTCTGCCCTCTCTGGCTTTGACACCCTCAGAAGATGGGGCAGGCTCTTTGTCTTAGGGACCAGGATGCTCCCCCTGTCCTTCCCAGATGCTGGCTGCATGAGAGACCCCAGCTACTCCCCCAGACCCAAGTTCTGCAGAACTAACCCCCAGCAGGCCTGGTTCCACCCTGGGCAGCACCCCCTCTAGTTCTAATAAAGCCGCCTCTGTCTCACACCAACCTCTGTCCTGTCTGTGGACCCCCGGGGGGCACAGGGTGAGGTGGGAAGTGATGCCACCCCTGACTGCAGGGAGAGTCCTGACCCCCAGCAGGCCTGGCTCCACCCCTCTGTCTCTGTCGACTTTTCATCCTGTCTGTGGACCCCCGAGGGGCATGGGATGAGGCAGGAAGCAATGCCTTCTGGTGCTGGCCTCTGTGAACCCTGAAGGCCAGTCTCCCTCTTAGCCCCGTGGGCCCCCAACCCCAGCACATGGCCCCCCGGCCCATCTTAGGAAAGCTGCCTCTGGAACCAAGGCCAGGAGTTTCGGGACAAAGTGGACCCTGGCAGCACTCTGGGCCCCTGAGCCACATTCACCCTCCCCAGCTCATGGCTGCCCCCCAGGACTGGGGTAGCCCACCCGGGGCCTAGCTCCAGCCAGCAGCCTCACCCCTCCTGTTACCCCTGGGGAGACCAGCTATGGACCACAGTGCCCATCCCTGCAGCCCTCATCTCCTCCACAGTAAGACATGGGGACCACGCCCTCCCCCAGGACTCGAGCCCAGCAGCCCAGTATTCGTGGGGTTCTGGAATACCCATTGCTCAGGCATCGCTGGCGAGAACACAGATGGGCAGGGACCATGGCACCCACTAACCAAGCCTGCGGGCCCCCCTGCCCCATGCGGCCTCGCCTAGACTTTCAGGGTCCTGGCTCCCTCCTGGTCCTGTGGTCCTGGACTCTGACCCCGAGGACCCTGTCCCCACACCCCCAGCCTCCTAGGTCTCTCCAAATAGCCCTCAGCTCTGTCTGCCACCCTCCGCTCTGGCACTCAGACGTGGTCCACGATACCGCGTTGGGCGAGTGGTACGAGCCGCTGCACTCTTTCTGCCAGGTCGCTGTGTGCATTTGAGAGCCCAGGTCTGCCTCCTGCCCCAGCAAATGACCCTTGCATGTCAACGCCAGAGGCGACCAGCACCAGCAGGAGGACCTCCCGGAGTCCCACCCCATGGAGCTCCCTGTGGTCAGCACAGCCGCCTCGCTCACTCCCCTCCAGGCAGACCCAGGACAGCCAGCAGCAGCCGTCCCCAGGGCCGGAGGCCAAACTGACACAGCCTTGTCCACCTCCTTGGAAGCAAAGCCACGTCCCCATGAAGGGACAAATGAGAGCCTCCAGGGGCAGAGATGTTTTCTTCCTGCCCTGGTTCTCCGGGTAGCTGGCAGGGGCCGAGCCTTCATCCTAGGGCTCCAGGACCATCCTGGGGAGGGGCTCCCCACACATGCGTGTCTGAGCCCCACCCACCTCACTATGCCCACTGATGGCTACAAGGTCAGAACAGAGAGCCAGGTGGAGGGGCCGGGGCTGGCTCTCTGACCTCCTCCATGTTTGTCATTGTCCCCACCTGCCCTCGTCCGAGGCACCGACAGGACCCAGCCTGTCTGGCCATCCCCAGGGAGGACATCTCCTGGTGGGGGGGTCTCACCTCTGACCCCTGCTCTGGGTCCTCATTCGATGTGTCTTCTGCTTCATCAGAGCTTCAACTCCTAGTGAAAGCACCTTGGAAAACCGTCCCTCAAAATGGTCACTCACAAAGTGACCCTGTGATCCTGCCACTCCAGTTCTAGGCATCTACCTCAGAGGAATGAAACAAATGTCCACACACAGATTTGTGCGCCCATGTACACAGCATGACTGACAGCAGCCAGAGACTGGTGTACCCATGTACACAGCATGACTGACAACAGCCAAGAAGTGGAAGAAGCCTAAATGTCCATCAGAGGACAAAGCAAAACACAGCCCATCCACACAAGCAAAATGTGGCCCATTCCCGTGGGGAATATTATTCAGCCATGAAAAGGAATCCAATACTGACACAGGCTACAACATGCATGAGCCTTGAAAGCATGATGCTTAGTGAGAGCCCACATGTGGTGACATTCTATTTTGGTTTTTTATTTTTTATTTTTATTTTATATTTTATTTAGGTTATTGGGGAATAGGTGGTGTTTGGTTACATGGATTAGTAATTTAGTGTTGATTTGTGAGATTTTGGTGCACCCATCATTCGAGCAGTATACACTGCACCCTATTTGTAGTTTTTTATCCATCACCCCCTTCCCGCCCTTTCCCTCTCAGTCCCCAAAGTCCATTGTGTCATTCTTATGCCTTTGTATCCTCATAGCTTAGCTTCCACTTATGAGTGAGAACATATGATGTTTGGTTTTCCATTCCTGAGTTACTTCACTTAGAATAATAATCTCCAATCTCATCCAGGTCTCTGTGAATGCCATTAATTCATTTCTTTTTATTACTGAGTAGTATTCCATCATATATATATATACACACACACATACATATATATACACACATACATATATATAACATATATATACATATATACACACACATATATATCAGTTTATATATATAAATATATAAATAAATATATATATATTATATATATAAAAGTTTCTTTATCCACTCGTTGATTGATGGGAATTTGGGTTGGTTCCACATTTTTGCAATTGCGAATTGTGCTGCTATAAACATGCGTGAGCAAGTATCTTTTTTGTATAATGACGTCTTTTCCTCCGGGTAGATACCCAGTAGTGGATTTGCTGGATCAAATGGTGGATCTACTTTTAGTTCTTTAAGGAATCTCCACACTGTATTCCACAGTGGTTGTACTAGTTTACATTCCCACCAGGAGTGTAGAAGTCTTCCCTGTTCACCACATCTGTGCCAGCATCTATTATTTTTTGATTTTTTGATGATGGCCATTCTTGCAGGAGTGAGGTGGTATCCCATTGTGGTTTTGATTTGCATTTCCTTCATCATTAGTGATGTTAAGCATTTTTTCCTATGTTTGTTGGCCATTTGTATATCTTCTTTTGAGAATTGTCCATTCATGTCCTTAGCCCACTTTTTGATGGGATTGTTTGGTTTTTTTCTTTATAATTTGTTTGAGTTTGTTGTAGGTTCTGGATATTAGTCCTTTGTCAGATGTACAGATTGTGAAGATTTTCTCCCACTGTGTGGGTTGTCTGTTTACTCTGCTGACTGTTTCTTTTGCCATGCAAAAGCTCTTTAGTTTAATTAAGTCCCAGCTATTTATCTCTGTTTTTATTGCATTTGCTTTTGGATTCTTGGTCATGAAATCCTTGCCTAAGCCAATATCTAGAAGGGATTTTTCATGTTATTTTCTAGAATTCTAATAGTTTCAGGTCTTAGATTTAAGTCCTTGATCCATCTTGAGTTGATTTTTATATAAGGTGAGAGATGAGGATCCAGTTTCATTCTCCTATATGTGGCTTGCCAATTATCCCAGAACCATTTGTTGAATAGAGTGTCCTTTCCCCACTTTATGTTTTTGTTTGCTTTGTCAAAGATCAGTCGGCGGTAAGTATTTGGGTTTATTTCTGGGTTCTCTATTCTGTTCCATTGGTCTATGTGCCTATTTTTATACCAATGCTGTTTTGGTGACTGTGGCCTTATAGTATAGTTTGAAATCAGGTAATGTGATGCCTCCGGATTTGTTCTTTTTGCTTAGTCTTGCTTTGGCTATGCGGGCCCTTTTTTGGTTCCATATGAATTATAGAATTTTTTTTGTAACTCTGTGATGAATGATGGTGGTATTTTGATGGGAATTGCATTGAATTGCTTTTGGCACTATGGTCATTTTCACAACATTGATTCTACCCATCCATGAACATGGGATGTGTTTCCATTTGTTTGTGTTGTCTGTGATTTATTTTAGCAGTGCTTTGTAGTTTTCCTTGTAGAGGTCTTTCACCTCCTTGGGTAGGTATATTCCTGAGTATTTTATTTTTTTGCAGCTATTGTAAAAGGGATTGAGTTCTTGATTTGATTCTCAGCTTAGTCGCTGTTGGTGTATAGGAGAGCTACTGATTTGTGTACATTAATTTTGCATCTGGAAACTTTGCTGAATTCTTTTATCAGTTCTAGGAGCTTTTTGTAGGAATCTTTGGGGTTTTCTAGGTGTACGATCATATCATCAGCAAACAGCGACAGTTTGACTTCCTCTGTACCGATTTGGATGCCTTTTATTTCTTTCTCTTGTCTGATTGCTCTGGCTAGGACTTCCAGTACTATGTTGAAGAGAAGTGGTGAGAATGGGCATCCCTACATTTTTGCAGTTCTCAGAGGGAGTGCTTTCAACTTCTCCCCATTCAGTGTTATGTTGGCTGTGGGTTTGTCATAGATGGCTTTTATTACATTGAGGTATGTCCCTTGTATGTTGATTTTGCTGAGAGTTTTAATCATAGAGATGCTGGATTTTGTCGAAAGCTTTTTCTGCATCTATTGATCATGTGATTTTTGTTTTTAATTCTGTTTATGTGGTGTTGAATTGTGAATGTTAAACCATCCCTGCATCCCTGGTACGAAACCTGGTGGGATTCTATTTGTATGAAAGGCTCAGAATGGGCAAATCTACAGAGAAAGAAAGTAGATGAGTAGGTGCCTGAGGCTGGGGGAGGGGCACATGGGGAGTGGTGCTGATTGGTGTGATTTTTTTGGAGGGAGGAATGCTGTAAAATTATATATTGGTGATGGCTGAGAAACACTGGGAATACGCTAAAAACAAATGGATTATGTCCTTGCAGCAGGTGAGCTTCATGGCTTGTGAATTTTCTCTTGGTAAATTTTTTTTAAAAGCCTAAGCCCTCTGTTTGGGCTGGCTACTCCCCAATGCCTCCACCTCCCCTTCATCCAAATAAAAATGAGTGGTACCAGAACAGTGATAGAAAACAGGCATGCCATCTGCAGACCAGGTCAGTAAGGATTTTCTGCGACAGACAAGACAAAAAGATCGGGTTTTCTTGACTGTAAAATTCAACAGAAAGAAAGGCAGAAGCAGGACTGAAGACAAATGGCTTTTCCCAGAGACCCTGACACAGGGACAGCACATGAGGACAGCCATGGGCACTCAGGCGTCTTTAACTGAGGGTTGAGTTCTAAAGAAGAACCGCCTGGTGCCCTGAGTCCAGCAGGAGAGCCAGGCAGGCCAGGGGTGGCCCAGGAGGCTCCCAGCCTGGGTCCTAGGATGGAGAGGAAGAGACCACACCCCAGGAAGTTCTGGATGCCAAAATGAACCAAAGCCCCTGTACTCAGCCAGCGGCAGACAAGGCCCCACCCTGAGAGCCCCAGTGTCAGCTCTGTGAGAAGAAGACATGTGTCTACATGCAGAGAACCTTTCAGCAATGAAAGCCAAACAGTTTAGACCCTCACTTAAAAACGTGAACAACAACTAAGGGTCCTCAGACGCATGAGGAAATCACAGCATGACAGAGAAGCAAAGTCTAAACAAACAATAATGCATGAAACAAAGAGGCCGTTACTCCATGAAACAAGAAGAGAGTGCTACCAAAAAGGAGAAGGAGAAGAAAGGAAAACACCTTGGATTCCTGGAGACTGAAATCGTGACACTCCAAACATATGGAATTCAATGGCAGTCCTCATAACAGACCCTGAGGCAGAAGAGCTGACACCATGACCCCCAGTTCAGAAAATGACCGAAACCCAATGCAGAAGGACAAAGAGATGAAGCCAAGAAAAGCCTGAGGTCTAAGGGAGATGAACCCAGGAGACTCAGGGTCTGTGATTCTGGGATCACAGTGGGGAGAGAAGCCAAGAATGAAAGAAAATCATCAAACCCATATGGGAATAAAAGTTCCTTGAACTAAAAGAAGATGGGACCGAGGGGATGAACACAGCTGATGACAGTGACTAGGGAGGGGTCTGGTGAAATGAATGAAGTACAAGGAGAGAATAGTGCCAGGTTCTGGAAAGAGGAAAAGCTTCACAAGAAGATTAAAGTTATGCAAATCTGAGACACACTGGTGGCCCAACCTCTACTAAGGTGGAGGGAAGAAATTCTGCACCTAGACTCTGCTGTGGCAGGTGTCAGCAGGAGGGCTGTTCTTAAACAACAGGGATCCAGAAAGTTTACCACCCATGACGCTTTCTGAAACTTTTACTCAACAATCTCTAACAAGAAGGAGCACGACCCCCTCTTTTCAAATGTCCACAAAAATCCGCAGATGCTCATCAAGGAAAATCTAAAGAAAATAAAAATACAGTCTAATAAAAATAAGCAGACATTAAAGATTGAAAAAGAAACATGCCCACAGATTGAGAGATTTTTGTTTTTATGTAAAAGAAAGTAGCATGGGTATGTTTATCCTAAAATTTGAAAATATAAATGAATGGACTGTGTTCTAAAAAATATAAATTACCAACACTGAATAACAAAATGAAACTTTTAATACAATGATGTCCAGGAAAATATGGAAATGGTATTGAAAGATATTCTTCAGAAGGCAGACTCAGATGTTTTAAAGGTGTATATCATCAGCCTTCAATATAAGACCTTCCTGTGATACTTGAAATATTCCAGAGCTCAGAAGAAGACAGAGATCTTCTGGATTCCTCTAATATAAGACTGGTGAGACCCTGATGCCAAAACCAGGAATAATTGTGTGTGAGAGAGAGAGAGAGGGAGAGAGGACTGTAAATCAATCCCATTTAAAAAGATAAAGCAAGAGATTCTATGTGCCTATGTTAAAGAAAAACTAAGCTGTTACATGCAGCCATTATGGAAGACAGTGTCAAAGCTCCTCAGCAAATTAAAAATAGAACTACCATGTGATGAGCAATCTTGTATATACAAGACAAATTAAAGCCAGATCTCAAAGAGATACCTGCACTGCCATGCTAACTGCAGCACTAGTCACAACAGCCAAGATATGGAAGCAACATAAGTGCCCATCAGCAGATGAGTGGATAAAGAAAATGTGGTGTATACACACGATGGAATACGATTCAGCCATAGAAAGGAGGGAGATCCTGTCATTAGTGGCAACATGGATGAACCTGCACACACTATGCTAGGTGAAGTGACCCAGGCCACAGAAAGACAAATACTGCAGACCTCGCTTATATGTGGAATCTAAAAAAGCCAAGCTCGGCAAAGCAGAGAGTAGAGTGGGGGTTCACAGGGGCGGGGGTGCAGGGAGTTTTCATTTTTTATAACTCTTTAAATATCCTTTCAGCGATTATTAATACAGGTGTGCAAGAACTGTGTGCTTTATCCACTTTGATGTTGATGACAGGATACAGCTTCAGCTGTGCAGGATGAGTCAGTTCTGGAAACCTCATGTGCAGCACGGGGACAGTTGACTGTAACACAGAATGTGACGCAGTAACACTGAAATTTGCTAAGAGAGTCCACCTTAAATGTCTCATCACAAAATAAAGGTAACTGCATGGGTGATGGACATATTAATTAGCTTGACCGTGGTAATCATCACACAATGTGTACATGTATCAAGACATCCTGAATTTATATAATTCTTATTTGTCAATTACATCTCAATAAAGCTGGGGAAAAAGGGATAATGAGCCATTATCAAGTAATGTATATCTTAGATCACTCAAGTTACAAAGGGTATCATTAACTATACTCATAAAATAGAAGTAGAAAAGCCACTGGAACACTCAGTAGATTAATACACACACATTCACACACACACATACATGAACAAACTCACTCCTTCTTTAAAAGCCTGAGGCAAAATTCTTGGTAAACTAGAGTGAAAAAACACTGCATGCACGAGACCAAGGCTTTGCGACAAACCAGCCAACACCGGCTTAGTGCGGAGCTGCAGGAGGTGCTTCTGTTAACTTTGGAAACAAGACCAGAGGGCTGCTGTCATCGCGTCTCCAGAGTTGTGCTGGGCAGCCAGCCACGATGAAAGGGAGTCAAATAAAACAAAAGACTACATTTTGGAAAAGAAGAATCCAAACGTGTGTCACTTGCAGAAGACACGGCCGTGGGCCACCCTGCCCTCCAGACTCACATCCCCTCCCAGCACCTCCCTCCCCCAGCCAGGGCTGTTTAATCCCTGCAGCTCAGCTCACTCAGATCCCCAGAGTGTCTGCTTGATTTAAGAAATGATGTGATCTGGCCGGGTGCAGTGGCTCACATCTGTAATGCCTGCACTTTTGGGAGACTGAAACGGATGGATCACTTGAGGCCATAAGTTCGAGACCAGCCTGGCCAAAATGTCCAAACCCCATCTCTACTAAAAATACAAAAAAAAAAAGAAAGAAAGAAAAATAGCTGGATGTGGTGGTGCACACCTGTAATCCCAGCTACTCGGGAGGCTGAGGGAGGAGAATCGCTTGAACCCGGGAGGTGGGGCCTGCAGCACCACTGCACTCCAGCCTGGGTGACAGAGTGAGACTGTGTGTCAAAAAAGAAAAGAAAGAAAGAAGGAAGAAAAGAAAGAAAGAGAAAGAAAGAGAGAAAGAAAGAAATTGGTGTGATCATTCAATTGTCCGTGGAAACTGCCATGGTGGCCCCCAGTGAAAATTTCCATGATCCAAAAAGACACGTCTCCACTGAGCGCAGGGCGTGGACTTAGATCAGGCACACTGAGACCCTGGAGCTGTTGTGGGCACAGCAATGACTGTGGAAAGACACTTTGGACAGTGATGGGTGGTCCAGACACCAGGAGAAGGGAGCGACAGAGGGCGTGGATCACAAATAGGAATAAAGAGACAAGGAATCACCACACCCATTCGATTAAGGAGGCTGCCAGAGATAGCGATGGGAAAACTAAAGCAAATTATCATACAGGCCCCAGGGCTTGTCCCAGAAGCCATGTCAGCCTTACCACATCCCGCTGGCTCAGGACCACCTGCCTCCCTGCCTGCCACTCAGGAAGCACGCACTCTTCTGGGAGCTGTGTGACAGAACGGAGCCATGTATGGCCGTGAGGGAAAGGAGTGAGAGCTCGCGGTTGTCAGGTTCACTGCCGGCCAGCTGTCCTCTTTCAAGGTTACTTATCTTCTCTCATCATTTCTGCAACTGTCAAAATGGGCTGCAGAGTCACCCCTCACGCGGTGGCTGATGTGGAGACCGCACCTGCGCCGTGCATGTCTGTAGCACACCCGCTGATATGACGTCATCCTAGCCTTCCTGGCTTTCCTGTCATTTCCTGAAAGGAGCATCGAGTCCTTCAGTCCCAGAAAGTGGGTTAAGCACACAGTTCTCGCACAACCTCTACTAATAATCACTGAAAGGATATTCAAAGAGTTATAAAAAATAAAATCAAAATTGTCTAACAAAAAGGGAGGCTCTTTAAAATCCTTTATATATTTGTAGAAAAGAGAAACAGATGGAAACAAATTAGAATGTAAACTGGATCAGGACCCCAATGCCCTGGAATAAAATAGTCTTTTACTCAGAAAATCAAATGAACTGCCACCAATGAGCAGAGCTTAACTGATGTCCAGTGAAACGAGGGGAAAAACGTTTAAATGCTCAACATAACATCATTACAGTGAGCCAAAAATGTATTTCATTCATCGTGAGACAAAATTAAAGTCACAAAAGGAAAGACCTTGAGAGATGAGTTATTTTTAAGAGCGCAAAACACTTCCTGAGTCTCCACATTGAAAGGCTCAATGAATTCTAACCACAGAAAGTAAAATAATGCACACGCATAGAAACAAAAGAAGAATAAAAAGAAAACCAAATGTTCCCAGAGAGTTAAACGGAGAGAGAGAGACAAACTATAAAAAATGACAAATGACCAACCTCAGTCTCTCATCAGCAACGCTGGACACTACAGAAAAATGGTGACACAGGTTCATCATTTTGAGAAAACAGATTTTTTGTTATTATTTATAATAATAATTCTGACTTAAAACCAGAATTATATACCCAGCTAAACTATCATATAAGTGTGAGGGTAAAGTTGAGTACATTTTTAGGCAAGAAAGAAATCTTAAAATGTATGTCCTAAAATCACCATATGTGAAAAAGTACTTGATCTGTCACCATGAGGAAATAAAAATGGAGAAAACCCAGAGCGCAGCTTCAAATAAAACAGAGAGAGGGCTCTGAGGGTGGCATGGAAGAGCTGAAGAGACAAGGATAAAGCACAGATCCACCAGATACCAAATCTCTGAGCATTCCCCTTACGAGGCACAAGGGGTTGAAGAGAGGGCCACTTAGCTTCATCGTACCCTCTGTGCCAGCTGCATTTTATAAGAAATGCATATTTTTCTACCTATTTATATTTTAATATGCTAAAAGTAATAAAATATATCCAATCAGTCCAAACACAGGATAGGTGAAACTAGAATTCCTCCCTTTAGAGAAGTCTTCATCTCTAAAACCTCTACTCAACAAAAGTTTGCTTGAAATATTTTCCACCACATTTCTGGGGCTAAAATAAGAACCGATGAAGAAACACGGCCCTGCAACATACACACAAGTTTAATGAGGGAAAAACAAACAGATAAACCAGCATGAATGACGCATCTCCAGCCACCAGCTCTAAACACCAACAAGGAAGAGAAGCTTGTGGAGCCTCCTGTCGGGACAACACACGCCAGGGAGGGATTTAAAAGCCCCACAGCCCTGAGCACCTCACTCACTCACTCCCTCCTTCACTCACTCACACACTCACTCACTCACACCTCCCCCAGCTCCCAGCTCACGTCTTCCCCACCCCAGCATGGCCGCGTGCACCATGTCCGTCTGCTCCAGCGCTTGCTCTGACTCCTGGCGAGTGGACGACTGCCCAGAGAGCTGCTGTGAGCCCCCCTGCGGCACCGCCCCCTGCCTGACCCTGGTCTGCACCCCAGTGAGCTGTGTGTCCAGCCCCTGCTGCCAGGCGGCCTGTGAGCCCAGCCCCTGCCAATCAGGCTGCACCAGCTCCTGCACGCCCTCGTGCTGCCAGCCGGCTTGCTGCGCCTCCTCCCCCTGCCAGCAGGCCTGCTGCGTGCCCGTCTGCTGCAAGCCTGTGTGCTGCCTGCCCACCTGCTCTAAGGATTCCTCTTCATGCTGCCAGCAGTCTAGCTGCCAGCCAACTTGCTGTGCCTCTTCCTCCTGCCAGCAGTCCTGCTGTGTGCCTGTCTGCTGCAAGCCCGTGTGCTGTGTGCCCACCTGTTCTGAGGATTCCTCTTCATGCTGCCAGCATTCTAGCTGCCAGCCGACTTGCTGCACCTCCTCCCCCTGCCAGCAGTCCTGCTACGTGCCTGTCTGTTGCAAGCCTGTCTGCTGCAAACCCATCTGCTGTGTGCCCGTCTGCTCTGGGGCTTCCACTTCATGCTGCCAGCAGTCTAGCTGTCAGCCGGCTTGCTGCACCACCTCCTGCTGCAGACCCTCCTCCTCCGTGTCCCTCCTCTGCCGCCCCATATGCAGGCCCGCCTGCTGCCTGCCCATCTCCTCCTGCTGTGCCCCTGCCTCCTCCTACCAGGCCAGCTGCTGCCGCCCGGCCTCCTGCGTGTCCCTCCTCTGCCGCCCCGCGTGCTCCCCCCTGGCCTGCTGAGGCCTCTGCTCAGGCCAGGAGTCCAGTTGCTGATGTGCACATCCCCCAGGGCCAACTGGTCCTGACTCGGGTTAGGAGGTTGCCCCCGCTTGGGACGGGGCCCCCATGTGCTGAGGTGACCCCCCCCTCCATACTCCCAGGAATCTCCATCCTCGAAGCTCCCCAGCTCCTGCCTCCCAGCAGGGGCCCACCTGCCTGTTGGGTCCCCTGTCCTCCCTCCCAGCTTCTCTGCCCCATGTCACTTGGCCTCGACTTGAACCTGTCAGCACCTCCTCCTGCTCCCCAATAAACTCCCCTTGGTCGCCTGATTCTCTTTTTCTGTAGTGCTCCTGGGGATACATGGTTTTGAGCTCAGATTGGTCTCTAGCCATGACTGTTTCTATGAATGAGTGACTTAACCTAGAAGTCACGGGGGACAGTGGCCTAACTCCTCCAGGGGGTCACCAGGTGGAACTCACAGCCACGCCCAGGAAGGCTCAGTCCCGGCTCAGCCTCCATGCCTGGGTCTTCCTGAGCCTGGTCATTGGCTGCCGTGCCCTGGGCTGTGGGGCTCTCCAGGCCCCAGGACTGTCCCACCCACTGTCCCACCTGGGAGAGCCCACCCTGCAGGGTCACCTTCCAGGAAGCTGGCCTGGGGTCCGGGCACCGCAGCCTCCAGGCCTGGTCACCCTCCCTGTGTGCCGCCCGCCCGAGAGTTCTGCCCGCTTAGCAGCAATGCGGGGGGAGAGGGAGGGGCTGCTGCACCTGCGCAGGAGACAAGGGACTCGATCAGGACGAAAGCATCATGGAGTGGGTGGATGGATGCACATGATTCCCCAAAACTGGCACTGCCCCAGGCCCTCCTCTGGGGGCACCAGGTTCCGCATGGGCTTTCAGGACCCAGAGTCCGCACCTGCAGGACCGTGCGTCAGGCCCCTCTTAGGTGAGGTTGACATGGGCGACACTGGAGGGCACAGGTGGACAAGGCCCTGCTGAGACCTGGGGGATTTTCTGGGGGGATGGCCTTCCAGGGGCTGCGGTGGTGGCTGGAACTGTTTTAGTAAGTAGGCAACTGTCCCCAGTGGGTAAATTTTCAGTTACCCTCCCTGCAAGGCCATCTCAGGGTCAAGGCGTGGGTGTTCCTCCATGAGTCCCCCTCTCATCCCAGGAGTCTGTGTCCATGGCCAGAGCCCACCAAGGGCATCCCTGCCACCCGTGAGGCCTCAGCCTCCGTCCCCTAATCCCTAGCACCCTCGCCGACACTGTGTCTACCCCACGGTTTTCTGGAAAAGTTTGGGTTAGATTGGCATTATTTCTCCCCTAAATGCTTGGTAGAATTCAATGGCAAAGCCATTCGGGATTGGCATTGTCTCTGTGGGAAGGGTTTTAATTATGAGTCCAGTCTCTTCAATTGATAGAGGGCTATTCCGATTTTCTATTTCTTCTTGTATCCCTTTTCATAAATGATGCATTTCCAGTCATTTGCCTATTTCATCTAAGCTGTTGAATGTATTGACATAGAGTTGTTTGCATTATTTGTTTGGTTTCCTTTAAATATCTACAGATTCTGTAGTGGCAACCTTTTATTCATTCCTGATGTATTAGTTCATTTTCATGGTGCTAATAAAGACATACCCAAGACTGGGCAATTTACAAAAGAAAGAGGTTTAATGGACTCACAGTTCCACATGGCTGAGGAGGCCTCACAATCATGGTGGAAGGTGAAAGGCACAATTCACTTGGTGGCAGACAAGAGAAGAGAGCTTGTGCAGGGAAACTCCCCTGTATAAAACCATCAGATCTTGTGAGACTTACTTACTATCATGAGAACAGCACAGGAAAGACCCACTCCCATGATTCAATTACCTCCCACCAGGTGCCTCCCACAACATGTGAGAATTCAAGATGAGATTTGGGTGGGGACACAGCCAAACCATAACATCCGATATTGGTAATTTATTTGTTCTCTTGTTTTATAATGACCAGTAAAGTTAGAAATTTGCCAATTTCATTTGTCTTTAAAAAAACTAGGTTTGGTTTTATTTATTTCCCTGTTTGTCCACTTTCTATTTGGTAGGTGATATGGTGGATATGTGTCCCCTCCAAATCTCATGGTGAACCATGATCCCGTGTTGGAGGCAGGGCCTGGTGGGAGGTGATTGGGTCATGGGGACGGTTCCCTCATGAGTGGCTTGGTGCCACCCCCACAATAATGAGTGAAGTCTTGCTCTGTTACTTCATGGACAGCTGGTTGTTTACAAGAGCCTGGCACTCCCTCCTCTCTGTCTCTCTTGCTCCCCTCATACCATGTGATGCCTGCTCCCCGTCCACCTTCCACCATGAGTAAAGCTTCCTGAGACCTCAGCAGAAGCTCAGCAGGTGCCATTCTTGTACAGCCTGTAGAACCAGGAGCCAGATAACCGTGGGCCTTTCCTCATAAATTGCCCAGTCTCGGGTATTCCTTTACAGCAGTGCAAAATGGACAAACACAGTGGAGTTTTTAAATTCTTGATTATTTTATTATTTCTAGTTATTTTTGGGTTCAACATATGCTTCTTTAGCTTCTTAAGCTGGAAGCTCGGACAACTGATTTTAGGCCTTCTTCTCTAATAAAACAAATTACTATGCATTTTCCTCTACATGCTTTGTTAGCTGCATCCCACAAGTATTGATATGGGGTGATTTCATTTTCATTTTATTCCAGATATTTCATAATTTCCATTGTGATTTATATTTTTACTCATAGATCTTAAAGTGTGTTATTTAATTTCCAAGTATGTGGCAGTTTTCTAAGTGTCTTTCTGTTAATGATTTCCAATTCTGTGTGGCCAAGCAGCATGCTCAGCCCTCCTGTGATTTCATCCCTCCTGAGGACACTGAGACTTGCTCTCAGGCCTCTCCGGTGGTTTATGTTGGTGGATGTTCCACGTGCACTTTAAACAACATGCATCCCATTGTTGTTGGATGGGATTTTGTATAAATATCCCTTAAGTCGGCTTGGTTTTTAGTGGTTTCTCAACTTTTCTATACACCTCCTGGAAAATGACTTTCTGAAGACAGAGTGAGGTTTGGTAAAGACACAAAGGACCTCAACCAGCAGTGTTCTCAGCTCACGTGAAGGGAAACAGCACTGTAGTTTAATGAAGACTCTTCCACAGAGTCCCCTTCTCTGGAGTTATTTTTAACTCTCTGCTTCCATGGGTTGCAATCAACACATTGAGTTGTGTTGCTGAAAACCATGGGCATGTTCACCCATGAGGTTTGCCCCCTCACCCACCCTGGGACATCCATGTGTCTGTTCACCCATGAGGTTTGCCCCCTCACCCACCCTGGGACGTCCGTGTGTCTGTTCACCCATGAGGTTTGCCCCCTCACCCACCCTGGGACGTCCGTGTGTCTGTTCACCCATGAGGTTTGCCCCCTCACCCACCCTGGGACGTCCGTGTGTCTGTTCACCCATGAGTTATGCCCCCTCACCCACCCTGGGACATCCGTGTGTCTGTTCACCCATGAGTTATGCACTCCCTTCCACTCCGGGACTGTGACTCCGTGTGGCCAGTGCTCTGGGTCTGTCCTCACAACTCCACCTCCACTGCGGCTGAGTTCCCGGGCCACCCTCTGACACCTGTGCATGGAAATTCTTTCTGATCTTATCGTCATTGCTTTATGAGTATGTTTTATAACCATTGGAATAGTTGGCACTTCTTCCAGTGGTTACAACACATCATTATTCCAAATATAATTTTTAAAGACTTCTTAAAATGCCCAAAACTCCTCAGACCATCCTGCTCTGGGCAGTCCGCTGGCCCTGGGCTCATGGTGGTCACACGTGCTCTGTCTGTCGTTCTTGCCACTCCATTTGGAAACCTGAAAGAGGGAGTCCTACTTCCCTGACCTTAGAGAGGCCGGAGGGTCGAGGAGATGATTCTGCTCACACAGGGTGGAAGCGAAGCGACAGAGACCCAATTCCAATCGCCTGTCTGTGTTCCTCCCACCATGCCAGTGATGTCTGCACAGGGCACAAGAGGTTTTAGGCAATGTCGATGAAGACTACTGATTTTGAAGCTAGGGAGGCATTTGGACACACTCTGGGCAAGCATGGCGCTAGAAGACACCATTCTTATTTGACAAGTATTGTGCAGCAGAAGGATAATTTAAAAAGCAAATCAGCAAAAAGAACTATGACACGACTAACAACACAGGAGGGTTAGGGACAAACCCAAGGGCCCGAAATGGCCAAAGGGCTGCAAGGCTCCCCGCGTCCATGTCCGTCTAGCCTGGACCCCTGGGAACCACACGCCCCTGGGCACAGGAAAACACTCAGGGGCCTGAAGGACAGCAGAGGGTTGTGCACAAAGGAGAAAACCATGGCCGTGAGCTCCAGCCAAGGCATTAATCAACACACCTGGGTGTCAGCGCCATTGCAGTCTCAGGGCCTTTATTGGTCAGCTTGAGGGCGTCCAAAGAAGGCTCTGCGGCTCTGAGCCAGGAGGACAGAGACCTCACGGGTCAAGGCTGAACTGACCCTCATGAGAGGTGGGAGATATGGAGGGGAGGCCACTGCCATGGGAACTTTCTAGAAGCGCCCCCCTCCCCCCGCAAGAGGGCTGCAGCATTGAGTATAGACTTTCAGTTCTTCCATTGTCCAGCTCAACAGCAGACACCAGGAAATGGTCAAAGTGCAGGAGCAATTCAGGACGCGACTATCAGCTTTCAGGTGGGACCTGAGCCTGGCTGGCACTGGGGGGCGTGTCCATCAGCAGCTGGGCTTCTGACCTGAGCGGAGGCCTCAGCAGGCTGGGCGGGAGCACACGGGGCGTCAGAGGAGGGACACGCAGGAGGCTGGGCGGCAGCAGCTGGGTTGGCAGGAGGAGGTGGGAGCACAGCAGGAAGGGACGGGCACGCAGCAGGCGGGCCTGCACACGGGGCGGCAGAGGAGGGACACGGAGGAGGAGGGTCTGCAGCAGGAGGTGGTGCAGCAAGCTGGCTGGCAGCTAGATTGCTGGCAGCATGAAGAGGAAGCCCCAGAGCAAACAGGCACACAGCTCACAGGCTTGCAGCAGACGGGCACGCAGCAGCCCTGCTGGCTTTGGGAGGAGGTGCAGCAAGCTGGCTGGCAGCTAGACTGCTGGCAGCACAGAGAGGAAGCCCCAGAGCAGATGGGCACAGAGCAGACAGGCTTGCAGCACACAGGCTTGCAGCAGACAGGCACACAGCAAGCCTGCTGGCAGGGAGAGGAGGTGCAGCAAGCCGGCTGGCAGCTAGACTGCTGGCAGCATGAAGAGGAATCCTCAGAGCACACAGGCTTGCAGCAGACAGTCTTGCAGCAGACGGGCACGCAGCAGGCCTGCTGGCAGGAGGAGGAGGTGCAGCAAGCCGGCTGGCAGCTAGACTGCTGGCAGCACGAGGGCGTGCAGGAGCTGATGCAGCCTGATTGGCAGGGGCTGGGCTCACAGACCGCCTGGCAGCAGGGGCTGGACACACAGCTCACACAGCTAGACTGCTGGCAGCACGAAGAGGAAATCCCAGAGCAGACAGGCTTGCAGCAGATGGGCACACAGCAGGCCTGCTGGCAGGGGGAGGAGGTGCAGCAAGCTGACTGGCAGCTAGACTGCTGGCAGCATGAAGAATCCCCACAGCAGACGGGCACACAGCACACAGGCTTGCAGCAGACAGTCTTGCAGCAGACGGGCACGCAGCAGGCCTGCTGGCAGGGGGAGGAGGCACAGCAAGCCAGCTGGCAGCTAGACTGCTGGCAGCACGAGGGCGTGCAGGAGCTGGTGCAGCCTGATTGGCAGGGGCTGGGCTCACAGGTCACTGGGCAGCAGGGGCTGGACACACGGCTCACTGGGGTGCAGACCAGGCTCAGGCAGGGGGCCGGGGCGCAGCAGCTGGGGGCGCAGCAGGGGGGCTCGCAGCAGCTCTCTGGGCAGTCGTCCACCTGCCAGGAGTCGGAGCAAGAGTCACAGGAACCAGGAAGGCAGACGCGGCTGCTGTAGCTCAGGTCGCTGGAGCAGACGGACATGGTGGATGCTGCTGTGCTGGGGGTTGAGCTGGGGGAGATGGGAGGGAGTGGGTGAGCGAGTGAGTGAGGTGCTCGGGTTTGTGGGGCTTTTATACTCCTCCTTGGTGCATGTTGTCCAGACAGGAGGCTCAGCAAGCCCTCCCTTCCTTGTTGGGGTGTACAGCCAGCTCCAGGAGAATAAACAGTAGCTGTGTTTTTGTTTCCCAAGAGCTGTTGCTCAGTTTACAAAACTTGGAATTGGCCTGGGGCGCATGTGCGTGTTTTAGACTCAGGAGGAAGAGCTGAGGGGCAGTTCAGGCTGTGCTGCTTTGCTCCCCAGGCGCACGTGGAGGGTGGCATGGTCCACGTGTGTGCCGGGCTATGGGGAGTGGGTGCCTGCGGGTGGCTCTGCCGTGTGTGTGCTGGACTATGAGGAGTGGGTGCCTGTGGGTGGCTCTGCCGTGTGTGTGTGCCAGGCTATGGGGAGTGGGTGCCTACGGGTGGCTCCGCTGGGCCTTGGTTTTCTAGGCTGCTGAACAAGATCATGTGCCTCTGTGATTGAAAGCTTAGGGAGAGAGGTTTGTTTGGGTTCTAAGTAAAGATAATGTGAGTCATGGTTTGTATGCTGTAATGTATTCTTTTCCTTGGGCTGCCATGACAAACAGTACCACAAACTGGCTGGTCACACAACAGAAATTCCGTGTCTCATGGTTTTGGAAGCCAGAAGTCTGAGATCGAGGTGTGGACAGTGGACAGCATGGGTTCCTTCTGAGGCTGCGAGGGGCACTGTCTCACCCCGCTCCCCTCACTCCTGTGGGCTGCTGCTATCTTTGGGGTCCTTGGCTTACAGTGGCCTCACCTGAGCTCTGCCTTTATCTTCACACAGCTTCTCCGTGTGTGTGTGTGTGTGTGTGTGTGTGTGTGTGTGTGTGTGTGTGTGTGTGTCCAAATCTCCCCTTTTTATAAGGATACAAAGCATTATTGCAGTAGGGCCTATCCTAACAGCCTCCTCTTAACTTGATCACCTACAAAGACCCTATTTCCATATAGGGTCACATTCACATGTACCAGCGGTCAGGACTTCGGCACCTTTTGAGGGACACAATTCAATCCACAGCAAGCAGACACAATGGCAGAACCTGGGATGAGGACGTGGGCACGGGAGCAGAACCCGGGATGGGAAGGCAAGCACGGCAGAAGTGTTTCTTGTGGACTTGGGCCTGGGGCAGGTGGAGCATGGGGGGTGGCGAGGGTAGCACAGGACAGCAGGTGCCCAGCACTGGGCACTCAGCAGCCTTTGCTTGTGAGGTGTGGCTTGACCTCGTGGAATGGTTTTAGGGAATAGTGGCTGAAAAGCGGGGTTCACATCGCCCTTTGCCAGCTTCCCGACACCACCGCAGGTTGGTTCCCAGCTCTGAGAAAGCAGCGCTGCTCTGTTTCTTCTCAGCCAGGACGGTCTTTAGGCAGCTGCACCAACTTCCGGTGGGTCCTGCTCAGGACCCCACATGGCGTTGGCTGAAAGGTCTCCTCGACTTCTCTGGTTTGTGACGGTTGCCCAATCTCTCCTTGGCCTCAGCGACCTTGACCGGTTGGGTGTTTTGTAGAATGCCCCTCCACGTGGACTTGCTTGAGGTTTCCTCGTGGTCAGAGTGGGCATCGCGTTGGGGGAGGAATCCCACAGGAGCAGTGTGCGTGGGGCATGGAGGTGACACGGCCGCGGCCCATCCCTCGCGGTGCCGCCGTTTCCCTCTGTAATTGGTCATGTCTGAGACTTGGCAGCTGTCCTGCGTCTGCCCAGGCGTTTGCCCGGCAGTGCTGGTGCCCCTCCGGGGGCCTCGCCCGCACGGTCCCTGTGGGGCTCTGTTGAGGATTCTCCTCCCTGCCTTGTTCCTTCCACACTTACTAATTGAAATTCTCCCGGGAGGAGGAGCTGTCCCGCTCTTCTGTGTGTCTATTTGCTTCCTTATTTATTTATCTATGTGTGGACTAAAGAATGTTTATCTATTACTTGAGCTATAATCCAATATGATCACTATGTATTTTGTGGTTGCAGTGGTTCCAACTTCGGCCCTCAAGTCCTTTCGTTTTGGCCCTGGTGCCCTTTCAACACGCTGTCCCTCCCTGACCTTTCTTACTTTTGGGTCCAAGTTCATCTCAGATTTGCCCTGTTTCATCCCTGGAATCAGACGCTTCTCTAGGAAGCCCTGCTTCCTCTTGGTGGACGAAGGCATTTAGAAACCAAAATCTGGAGCAAGGTGTGCTCACACTACTGGGGTGTTGCTTTCCCAGCCCTCCCAGGAGACAGAGCAAGGAGGCTGGCATGTGCATTAACACCCACCTGATCTTAGAGGGAGGGGTTTCCCCACTAAGAATCGTGTTGGTGCTGGTTTTTCCAGACTAGTGTTATCTGGTCTGAAATGTTCCCCTCTAGGCTGGATGTGGTGGCTCATGCCTGTAATTCCAGCACTTTGGGAGGCCAAGGCAGGAGGATTATTTAAGGCCAGGAGTTTGAGATCAGCCTGGGCAACATAGCCAGACCCCATCTCTACAACGTATTGTCCTTTTTACATGTTGCTGGATTGTATTTGCTAATATTTTATTGAGGATTTTGGTTGGTCTGTAGTTTTCTCTTATTGCAATGCCTTTGCCTGGTTTGGTAACACTGCCTTCATGAAAAGAGTTGGTGTTTTCTCCTATTCTATCTTCTGAAAGAGATGATGTAGAATTGACATTTTTTCTTCTTTAAAGGGTTGGTAGTATTTTCCAGGAAACTGTAGTTTTTCTGTGTTGGAAGGTGTCCTTTATTAGATATTGGACCTCCCAATTATCTTTTCTTCTTTAATAAGTTCTGGTATTTGCGCCTATCAAGGAATTGGTCCACATTATCTGAGGTTTTGATAAACAACACGTGGTGTTGTTTATGGAGTTCCCTTATCAGCCTTTTAATTTCTGACAATTGTTTAGCAATATCCCCTTTTGTTCTCCATATTGTTTATCAATTTGATGGATCTCAAAGAACCAGCTTGGGTTTAATCAGTTTCCTCTATTTTCCTTTTGTTTTCAATTGCGTGGACTCCTGCCCCATCCTTCCCTTTGCTTGCTGTGGGTTCCATTTCCTCATCTTTCTCTAGTTTCTCAAGGCAAAGCTCCTATGTTGGATTCAATACCTTTCTTCTTTTCAAAGCAGCGCCCGGTTCCCTCCTTCTCCATCCTCAGTGGCTATACCTGGCCTGTGCCTGAGGCTGTGAACGAGCTTATCTCTGCAGCCCCTTCTGTAATTCCATAATTCCTGGCTTCTGGACCCATGTCTCACCGATGATAGAGTCAAGGAGGATGCCCCACAAGGTGGCTGTGAGGGCAGGTCAACATCCAGAGGCCCCCACCCAGCACTGCCGAGGCTGTGTCAGGGACTCATCTGCCCTTGGGTGTCCACTCCCAGGAGGCTGAGAGGCACACAACACTGCAGGCGTGGGGTCCGGAGCCAGGAAGAGGCTATTTTAATTAAACAGTGGAGGGAGAGGCTCTTGCTGGGATGGTCAGGATTCTGTTTCCTGATTGCCAAAGCCCAGCGAGCGATGGGCTGACTGTCTATCCCGGGGCTCAGCAGGGCAGAGGCTCATCCTGAGTGCTGGGCAGGGCACCTTCTGGATGGTGGCCCCCACGTTTCCTCATTGAGGAGGTGGCCCCTGGTCGTGCTCAAGCTAAACCCCCAGGGGTGAGCCCAGCACCAGGCAGTGCTGTGCAGCAGTGTCTCTCTGAGACTGGGGGGAGGGGCAGTAGGGTGCATGGGGTTTACTTAGAGACCCATTCTTTCCAGGGGACCCAGGACGCAACGCCACAGTATGTGGAGTCTCATCCCCAACCTCCGCCAGCCTGAGGCTTGGGCCAACATCAGAGCCCTGAGGCACAGAATCCCCCCACACCAAGATGCCAGAATCCTCCCAGAGTCAGCCTGGGACCCCCTAAACACACACAGCAGCCTCCATCGGGGGTGGTCCCTGTACACAGACCTCTCTACACACAGTGTCCACTGTTGCTGTCCCTATGTCGTGGCATGTTTTATAACTCAGGGTCTTTCCAAGAAGCGGCAAAGCCTCCTCACACTCTACCTTTTGTGTTTAATTGCATAAATAGTAACAATAATAATACATTCTCCTGTCCTAAAGCAGGCCACACTTTCTTCACTGTGCTCCCTCCATCTGCATGTCCCCAAACTCTCTGGTGCTGTGGGTCACACACACACACACCCCTGCCCCAGCCAGGACCCTCTGCATCCTTTCCATCCTTGGCCCATGGTGTGTCCTGCCACATCTTCCCACTCTGTGCCTGGGCCAGGCCCAGGCAGCGTCCTGCAGCCAGGGTGCTCACGGCTGCTTTGCCGGCTGTTCCTGCACTGCACGTCTGCGTCACATCCGGTTTTTGTAAGTGCCCGTTACACCCTGTGTGCACACTTGCGGACGTGCACGGCTGCATCACATCCGGTTTTTCTAAGAAAGAAGTGCCCATCACACCCTGCGTTTCACACCCTGTGTGCGCGTGTGCGGACCAGGATGCTTTTCCAGGGTAGGCTCTTCTGCAGAACTGCTCCATCCCAGGTGCTCACACTCTCTGGAGGACACAGAGGATCGAAGTCTCACTGCAGCTGTGGCACTGCGATGCACGTGGCGGTGCAAGGAAGGGCTGTGCCTTCTCCTGGCCTGGAGTGGAGTCCTGCTCTCCAGCTGCTCACTGGGGCCCTGCCACGTGCAGGCAGGCGGGGGAGGAAGGCCTCTGCTTGAGATGTTTGACCAAAGCCCTTCCGGGGCCTTCACAGAGAATCCATGACATTCCCTACACAATGCCGGCCAGGATGGGCACGTGGGGGAAGATGAACCCTAGAGGGTGCCAGAGTGGACTGACCCAACACCCTCATGCCAGGCTGAGGCAGGAGGCCCCTCAGCAAGACTGCCAGACGGAGGGAGACAGCTCCAGGAACACCTGCTTCATTCAGCCACGCCCTGGCATTTACCCAGGCTGGGGCCAGCTGCAGTGGCCGAGCTGAGGAGGGTCCAGGCATCAGTCTCAGGCTCTGCTCCCAGCCACTCAGCCTGGGCCAGGGATCTGATCTGCAGCCCTCTGCTAGCCCCGAATGCCCTCCATGCTTCCCATTTTCCTCCCTGTCACCTGGCCTCGGAGGAGGCCAGGCCAGCCCATCAATTATGTTCCCACCAACTTTGAATCCCAGGTTCCCCAGGAGCTTATCCACTCCCCTGGCACGCCCAGAGGGGGACGAGGGGCAGGCACTGCCAGCTCCATGGCAGCTCCAGCCTCCCACAGCACCCAAGGGCAGCACAGGGACCCAAGGGAGGCCAGCAGACAGGAGCCTGGGCCTGCCTGGTCTCATTCCCAGCCGCTTCCTGCGTTTCCTTTGGGGTTCCCGTGGCTGCGGTGGGGCCATGCGTTCCTTCCTTCGTCCCGCACAGCTCACCCTGCACAGTGCCTGGCTGCCGACTTGAAAACAGCAGCCATGGGTGGAATGTTACCTGCAGCTCAGAGGCAGCCGTGCAAGATCCCCCAGGAGCAGGAGGAGGGGTGGGGGGAGGCCACACGGGCACACCTCATGGTGCCTCTGTTTCCTTACCACTGAAACAGAGATAACCTTGGTTCACAGCTCATAGGGGCTATAGTGCTATGTAAAGTGCCTGCCACGCTGATGCCCCATACATGTTGGCTGTTATGGGTATCCACTTTTGGGGGTGTCCTGGCCTAACCCACCTGTGATTTCTTTGCCACAGACCTGCGCCCCCTGGACATCCTGGCGGAAGTGGTCCCTTCTGATGGCGCCACAAGCGGGATCAGGATAGTTCAGGTTCACGGTGCACGGGGACTCCAGCTCTCAGTAGCCGCCCCCCGCACCATGAGCTTCCCAGCATCCAGGATTTTCTCCCAGTGTGACCTCTTCCCTGAAGAATTTTCCATCGTCGTAACTTTGAGAGTTCCCAATCTTCCACCCAAGGTCAGTGGCACTTTCTGCACTTCGTGTTATAATAGCGTAATTTTCCCTTGTGAGGTTCCCAGTACCAACGCGTGCACAGGTTGAGGGGCGGCATTTGTCAAGGACTCTCTGGGTTTCTCTGGGATCAAGAGTGGCTGGCCTTGCTAGGTAGTGAGGTCCCTGTCACTGGCAGTATGTGAGAGTCTGTGTGACCATTTGCTAGTGGTTTGCACAGCCAATTCCTGCAATCGAGGGACTAGTGCTCAGAGTTTTTATGTTGACATCCTTTGGCAGGAAGCGCTAACAATAAAATCACATCTAAAAAGGGACACTTTGTAGACCCATTTATCTAAGACTTGAAGTGCCATCAATCCCAAATCTAACAGACAAGCCCCATCCCATCCTCTGCCTACTAGTTTGGAAGGTGAAGACAGTAATGTTTGTCTCTGTCCCCTTCCCCACGGTTTCTGGGACAGTGCACGTCATATCTGTGCAGCAGGTCCTTCTGAAGTAAATAAAAATGAATTTGCATTTCCAACAGTGGTGTTGAGCACTTCTCATGTGTGTACTGGCTATTTGTGCATATTCCTTGGAGAAATGTTCATTTAAATTTTTTGCCCAGTTTTTCGTGGATTAATGGACTTATTGCTCAGTTATAAAGAATTCTTTATGTATTTGATGAGCCCCTTATCAGATATATGATTTGCAAATATTTGCTCCCATTCTGTGGGTTTTCCTTTTACTTTCTTGGTAGAGCCCTTTGGAGCACAAAATGTTTAAACCATGATGATGTTCAATTTATCTATTTTTTTTATTTTGTTGCTTGTACTTTTGATATCATATCCAAGAATCCAATGCCAAATCCAAGGTCATGAAGATTTACCCTTATGTTTTCTTCTAAGAGTTTTATACTTTTGGTACTTACATGTGAGTCTTCAATCCATTTAATTTTTGTATGTGGTGTGAGGTAGGGGGTCAATTTTGTTCTTTTGTATATAGATATTCAGTTGCCCCCACACCATTTGCTAAGGAGATTATTTTTTCCTCATTGAATGGTCTTGACAACCTTGTGAGAAATAAATTGACTATAGATAGGTGGGTTTATTTCTGGACTCTCAATTTTACTTTATTCATTCATTTGTCTATTTATATATTTGTACCACACAGTCTTGGTTACTGTAGTAACCAAGATTTATTGTAGTAAATCTTTAAATTGGGAACTATGAGTCATCCAACTTTGTTCCTCTTTTTAAATTTTGGTTTGGCTATTCTGGATCGCTTGTAATTACATATTGATTTTATAATCAACTTGTGAATGTCTACAGAGAAGTTAGCTTGAGATTGGACAAATCTGTAATTAATTTGGGGAGTATTGTCATGTTAACAATATTAACATGAGTGGATCATGGACTTCAGATTAATGAACGTATGATGCTTTTCCATTGTTTACATCTTCCTTAACAAAACAAAAATAATGTTTTATAGTTTTCAGAGTATAAGTTTTATAATTATTTTGTTAAATCTAGTCCTAGTATTTTTTCCTTTTTGATGCTATTATAAATAATTTCATGTTTGGCTTGTTAATTGCAAATATATAGAAATACCGTTATTTATTTATTTAATTTTGAGACAGAGTCTCACTCTGTCACCCAGGCTGGAATGCAGTGGTGCAATCTCGGCTCAATGCAACCTCTATTTCCTGGGTTCAAGCGATTCTCCCGCCTCAGCCTCCAGAGTAGCTGGAATTACAGGTGTACACTACCATGCCCAGCTAATTTTTGTATTTTTAGTAGAGACAGGGTTTCGCCATGTTGGCCAGGCTGGTCTGGGCCTCCCAAAGTGCTGAGATCACAGACATGAGCTACCACACCTGGCCTGAAATACCATTGATTTCTGTGTGTTGACGTTGTATCCTGCAACCTTGCTGAGCTGGCAGCTTTTTAGTGAATTTCTTAGGATTTTCTATATATAAGATTATATCATCTGTGAATAGAGATGATTTGTTTCTTCTTTTCCAATATGAATGCTTTTTATTTTTTCCCACTAAGTATAATATTAACTGTGGATTCTTCATAGATGCCCTTAACAAATTGAGCAAGTTTCCTGCTCTATCTTATTGAGTGTTTTTAACATGAAAGGATGGTGGATTTTATCAACTGCTTTTTCTGCATCTATTGTTATAATCATGCTATTTTTGTTTTTTATTCTGTTGATGTGTTGTGTTACATTAATTGATTTTTAGATATTAAACCAATCTTGTATCCCAGGGATAAATCCCATTTAGCCATGGTGTATAACTCTTCTTTTATGTTGCTGGATTCAGATTGCTAGTATCTTGTTGAGTATTTTGCGTTCATATCATGAGAGATAGTGGTATTGGTCTGTAGTTTTCTTTTCTTATGATGTCTTTGTGTGATTATGGTATGAGACTAATACTAGCCTCATAGAATGAGTTAGGAAGTAATACTTCCTCTTAGTTTTTGAAAGGGTTTGTGAAGAATTGGTTTTAATTCTTTATTTATTTCCACTTTAATCTTCATTATTTCCTTCATTGTGCTTGCTTTGAGTTGGCTCTTCTTTCTCCAGCATCTTAAAGTAGGTTAGGTTATTGATTTGAGATCTTTCTTAATACAGGTATTTACAACTATAAACTTCTCTCTAAGCAATACTTTTGCTGCATCTCATAAGTTCTGGTATTTTGGGTTTCATTTTTATTCATCTTGATGATTTTATGATTTTCCTTTTGGTTTCTTTTTTGACTTGTTTGTTGGTTATATAAGAGTGTGCTGTTTAATTTTCACATATTTGTGTGTTTCCCCAGTTTTTTTTCTATTATTGATTTCTAATTTTATTTTATTGTGGCCAGAATACATACTTTGCATTATTTCTGTCTTTTTAAATTTACTGGAGGTTTATTTTATGGCCTAACATATGTCCTATGCTAGACGATACTGCATATGCATTTCAAAAAAATGTATATTCTGCTGTCATCAGGTGGGAACAGTCTAAAGGTGTCTGCTAGACTTTATTGGTTTATTGTATTCAAGTTTTCCTTTTTCTTGTTGATCTTCTACCTAGTTATTCTATCCGTTTGTTGAAATTACGGTGTTGAACTATTCAATTAATATTGTTGACTTGTCTATTTCTCCCTTCATTTCTGTCAGCTTTTGCTTCATGTATTTTGGTGCTCTTTTATTATTTCCATACATGTTTATATTTATTATACCTTCATGATAGGTTGACCTTTTATCATTATAAAGTGTTCCTCTTAATCTCTAGTAACAATTTTTGTTTTAAAATTTATTTTATCGGACAGCAGTTGGGCTACTCCAATTTTCTCATGGTTGTTGTTTGTATAGTTTATCTCTTTCTGTTTACTTTCAATCTAGTTGTATATTGCAATATAAAGAATGCCTACTTTACAGAGTATCTATTACATCTTGTTTTTTATTTAATCCAGTCTGACAGCCTCTGCCTTTTGACTGGGTTATTTAATCTATTTACATTTAATGTTGTTATTGATATACAGTTGACCTCATTTTTTATGAATTTTGTATTTGCAAATTCAGCTACTCTCTAAAATTAATTTGTAATCTCAAATACTGGTGGCACTTTTGTGGTCATTCATTGGCATGCACAGATTAGTGAGAAATTTGAGTCTCCCAAAATGCATGTTCCCAGATAAGGTTGAACAAGGCACACTCTGCATTCTTGCTTCAGCTCTCATATTGTAAATAAGCATTTTTTTTTGTAATCTACTTAATGCCACATTTTCACATTTTTGTGATTTTTTGGGTGACTTTACTGTTTAAAATGGCCCTCAGGCATGGTGGTGAAGGGGCTGTTCAGTGTTCCTAAGTGCAAAAAGGCTGTGATGTGCCTTACAGAGAAAATATGTATGTTAGAGAAGCTTTGTTAAGGCATAAGTTGTAGTACTGTTGGCTGAGTTCAATGTTAATGAATAAACAATAATTATTAAACATATATAACACTCGACTATATGTTGATAGTTGAAACTGCGACCAGAGGATTACAAGAACCAAACTCTGTATTTCCCCTAGGAACAATGGTATATTATTTCCTAATTCAGTATTTGCAATGACTTTATGTAATTACTACTAACAATGAAAATCAACTGTACTTGAATTTATGTCTACTAGTTTACTTTTTATTTCCCATATGTTTTATATGGTTCTGTGGGTTTATGGGTTTTTTTTGTCACCACTGTCCTTATATTCTTTCTTCACTACTTTCTCTTATATTAAGTGCATATTTCCTAATGTAGCATTTTGATTTCTTTATGTTTTCCCATGACACTGTTTTAGTTTTTCCTTAGTGTTTGCTCTGGGGTTTACCATATACTTATTTTGACTTATCAAGATCAACTTCAGATTTGTGCCAACTTAATACCAGTGAGATACAAAAAGATTGCTCCTATACAACTCTTTTCCTTTTTGTCCTTTTTGTAGTCTTGTTGTTATATATATTACATCTACAGATGTTAAAACCCAACAATATATTGTTATACTTATTACTTCCTATAATTTTATGGCTTTTAAAGATGCTCAGAGAAGAAAGAACAAGTATATATTTATATCATTTGTTATATTAGCCTTTTTATCATTTCTGATTCTCTTCATTTTTTCCTGTGGATTCACATTACTATCTTCAGTAACTTCCTTTGCACGATATAGCTTTGTTTCCATGTACCTCCTTTGTATTATTATTGCCAAATATATTAGATTTCTATATGTTATAGGCCCAACAACACCAAATATACCTTTTTATATTGCTTTTTAAAAATCAGTTAAGAGAATAAAGGAGAAAATATGCATTTGTACTACTTTTTATAATTACATAATTAGTTTTACTGCTGTTTTGTTTTTCTGTGTGGATTTGAATTTCTGTCTGGAGTTACTTGCTTTTGGTCTGCGGAACGCTAGTATGACTCGTAAGATGCATCTGCAGGTAATAGATTCCCTCAGTTTTGATTTATCTGGGAATGCCTTTATTTTGCCTTCATTTCTGAAAGACAACTTTGTTGGATATAGAATTCTTGGCTGACTTTTTTTTCTTTGAGCACTTTGAATGTACCATCATACTACCTTCTGGTGCCCATTGTTTCTGATAAGAAGTGAACTGTTGCTCTTCTTATGGTTCTCTTATAAATAACTTGTTTTTCTCTTGCTGCTTTCAAGATTTTCTCCTTGTTTTTGACTTTCAGTATTTTTACTATGATATGTCTGTTTGCGTATCTTTTGTGTGTCTCCACCTTAGAGTTTTCTGAGGTCCTGGATATGTAGATTAATGTTTTTCAATAATTTTGGAAAGTTACTAATTCTGTGAAGAATGTCAGTGGTAGTTTGATGGGAATAGCATTGAATCTATAAATTACTTGGGGCAGTATGGCCATTTTCATGATATCGATTCTTCCTATCCATGAGGATGGAATGTTTTTCCATTTGTTTGTGTCCTCTCTTATTTCCTTGAGCAGTGATTTGTAGTTCTCCTTGAAGAGCTCCTTCACATCCCTTATTAGCTGTGTTCCTAGGTATTTCATTCCCTTTGTAGCAATTGTGAATGGGAGTTCACTCATGATTTGGCTATCTGCTTGTCTGTTGTTGGTGTGTAGGAAGGCTTGTGATTTTTGCACATTGATTTTGCATGCTGAGACTTTGCTGAAGTTGCTTATCAGCTTAAGGAATTTTTGAGCTGAGATGATGGGGTTTTCTAAATATAGAATCATGTCACCTGCAAACAGAGATAATTTGGCTTCCTCTTTTTCTATTCGAATACTCTTTATTTCTTTCTATTGCCTGATTGCCCTGTTCAGAATTTCTAATACTATGTTGAATAGGAGTGATGAGAGAGGGTATCCTTGTCTTGTGCTGGTTTTCAAAGGGAATGCTTTCAGCTTTTGCTCATTCAGTATGATATTGACTATGGGTTTATCATAAATACCTCTTATTATTTTGAGATATGTTCTATTAACATCTAGTTTATTCAGAGTTTTTAACATGAAGGGATGTTGAATTTTCTTGAAGGCCTTTTCTGCATCTATTGAGATAATCATGTGGTTTTCGTCATTGGTTCTCTTTATGTGATGGATTACATTTATCGATTTGCCTATGTTGAGCCAGCTTTGCATCCTAGGGATGAAGCTGACTTGATTGTGGTGTATAAGCTTTTCGATATGCTGCTGGATTCAGTTTGCCAGTATTTTATTGAGGATTTTTACATCAGTGTTCATCAGGGATATTGGCCTGAAGTTTTCTTTTTTTGTTGTGTCTGCCAGGTTTTGGTATCAGGATGATGGTGGCCTCATAAAATCAGTTAGGGAGGAGTCCCTCCTTTTCAGTTGTTTGGAATAGTTTCAGAAGGAATGGTACCACCTCCTCTTTGTACCTCTGGTAGAATTTGGCTGTGAATCCATCTGGTCCCGGGCTTTTTTTGGTTGGTAGACTATTAATTACTGCCTCAATTTCAGAACTTGCTATAATCTATTCAGGGATTCAACTTCTTCCTGGTTTAGTCTTGGGAGGGTGTATGTGTCCAGGAATTTACCCATTTCTTCTAGATTTTCTAGTTTATTTTGTAGAGGTGTTTATAGTATTCTCTGATGGCCGTTTGTATTTTTGTGGGATCAGTGGTGATATCCCCTTTATCATTTTTTATTGCATCTATTTGATTCTTCCCTCTTTTCTTCTTTATTAGTCTAGCTAGTGATCTATCTATTTTGTTAATTTTTTCAAAAAACCAGCTCCTGGATTCATTGATTTTTTTGAAGGGTTTTTCATGTCTCTATCTCCTTCAGTTCCGCTCTGATCTTAGTTATTTTTTGTCTTCTGCTAGCCTTTGGATTTGTTTGCTCTTGCTTCTCTAGTTCTTTTAATTGTGATGTTAGGGTGTAGATCTGAGATCTTTCCAGCTTTCTGATGTGGACATTTAGTGCTATAAATTTCCCTGTTAACACTGCTTTAGCTGTGTTCCAGAGATTCTGGGACATTGTCTCTTTGTTCTCATTGGTTTCAAATAACTTCTTGATTTTTGCCTTAATTTCGTTACTTACCCAGGAGTCATTCAGGAGCAGGTTGTTCAATTTCCATGTAGTTGTGTGGTTTTGAGTGAGTTTCTTAATCTTGAGATCTAATTTGATTGCACTGTGGTCCGGTAGACTTTGTTATGATTTCAGTTCTTTTGCATTTGCTGAGGAGTGTTTTACTTTCAATTATAAAGTCAATTTTAGAATAAGTGCCATGTGACACTGAGAAGAATGTATCTTCTGTTGATTTGGGGTGGAGAGTTCTGCAGATGTCTATTAGGTCCATTTGATCCAGAGCTGAGTTCAAGTTCTGAATATCCTTGTTAATTTTCTGTCACATTGATCTGTCTAATATTGACAGCAGGGTGTTAAAGTTTCCCACTATTATTGTGTGGGAGTCTAAGTCTCTTTGTAGGTCTCTAAGAGCTTGTTTTATGAAACTGGGTGCTTTTATATTTGGTGCATATATATTTAGGATAATTAGCTCTTCTCATTGAATTGATCCCTTTATCATTATGTAATGCCCTTCTTTGTCTTTTTTGATCTTTGTTGGCTTAAAGTCTGTTTTATCAGAGACTAGGATTGCAACCCCTGCTTACGTTGCTTTCCATTTGCTTGGTACATTTTCCTCCATTCCTTTATTTTGAGCCTATGTGTGTCTTTGCAAGTGAGATGGGTCTCCTGAATACAGCACACTGACGGGTCATGACTCTTCATCCAATTTGCCAGTCTGTGTCCAGCTATTATTTCTATGAAATAATATTTTTCCACTGTAGTCTGACTTTGCCAGGTAGTCCTCCAACAGAGCCCTTAGCCATACTCATCAAAGGTCAGAGGCTTCAAACCCTGCAGCCTATGGGCCCCCACCAAGCACTCAGTGGACCCCTGGCCTAATTTTGGAAAGCCCTGCAGCCTAGAGCATCATCAGAGCCTCTGCCTTTGCCATTTCAAAGATTTAGTAGAAAATAGCGATCATAGAGTGAGGAGATGAGGGATCCATGATCAGAACTTTGGGGGCTTACTAGCGCACAGGTATGGTCCCGGGCACAGGCATGGGCTGATACACACAGGTGTATAGGTATTTGTGAGACAAGGCTCTGCAATCAGACCCTTTTATTTGTACATTTACTATGACAATGTCCAGGAGCCAACAGTAGAACTAATACATTCTGATGACTTTCTGGCCCATAAGGGAAGAGACCTTGGAGCTCCCAAGGACACCATTGCAGGTGATGTTGCCCGAGATGTGAGAGGAGAAGGTGTGAACACTATTGTGCACACCACCGGGGGAAGGCCCCATAACAGTTCAACGTGAAATGAAACAAAGGTGCTTGCCCCTCATCTCCATCCCTACTGTGCTGGGCCTGCAGCTGCCTCCCTGCTCCCCTCTGCGAGCCAATCTCTGCCCAGGAAGACACTATTCCCTCACACCTGCCCCAGGGCTCACCCCCAGCAGAAATATGCCCCATGGTTCCCACTGACAACCAGCAGTGTCAACCCACAGGGTGGATCTCGCCGTGTGGCCAGGCCAACTGAGCATCTTCAAACTTGTCCACAGCAGAACACATCTCTCCCTTTCCTCAAGGCCCAGAAACTGAGGTTCTCCTAACCTCATCCCTCCTTAGGTGTAGAAGTCTTTTTTTAAGTGCAAACTCCTCCTGGGATGGAGCAGAGGGCTGTCAATTCCAGAATATCTCCTAACTGCCACTGTCCCTGCTTCTGCAGTGTGCTTTGATGCAATCAATATATTTCTACTAGTTTATCTCTGTGGACAAGCCCACATTAGGGAAGCCCTAACTCCAGTCAGGAGCCTCACAAACCAGAACATCCACAAACAATGAACCAACACTACTAACACAACAGTGCCTACAACAACAACAAGGAAGAGGAAGGCTTCTCGAAGCCAGGCAGGGGCAGCACAATCAACACAGAGGGGTATAAAGGTTCCGACCACTCAGAGGCCTGGCACGATCACTCACTCACTCCCTCACTCACTCCCACACTCACTCACTCACGTCTCCCCCAGCTCACCTCCTCCCCACCCCAGCATGGCCACGTCTACCATGTCCGTCTGCTCCAGCGCTTACTCTGACTCCTGGCAGGTGGACGCCTGCCCAGAGAGCTGCTGTGAGCCCCCCTGCTGCGCCACCAGCTGCTGCGCCCCGGCCCCCTGCCTGACCCTGGTCTGCACCCCAGTGAGCTGTGTGTCCAGCCCCTGCTGCCAGGCGGCCTGTGAGCCCAGCCCCTGCCAGTCAGGCTGCACCAGCTCCTGCACGCCCTCGTGCTGCCAGCAGTCTAGCTGCCAGCCAGCTTGCTGCACATCCTCCCCCTGCCAGCAGGCCTGCTGCGTGCCTGTCTGCTGCAAGCCAGTCTGCTGTGTGCCCGTCTGCTGCAAGCCTGTCTGCTGCAAGCCCATCTGCTGTGTGCCCGTCTGCTCTGGGGCTTCCTCTTCATGCTGCCAGCAGTCTAGCCGCCAGCCGGCTTGCTGCACCACCTCCTGCTGCAGACCCTCCTCCTCCGTGTCCCTCCTCTGCCGCCCCGTGTGCAGGTCCACCTGCTGTGTGCCCATCCCCTCCTGCTGTGCCCCTGCCTCCACCTGCCAGCCCAGCTGCTGCCGCCCGGCCTCCTGCGTGTCCCTCCTCTGCCGCCCCACGTGCTCCCGCCTCTCTTCCGCGTGCTGCGGCCTCTCCTCAGGCCAGAAGTCCAGCTGCTGACGGGCAGGTCCCGTTTCTCCAGAGTTGTTCCAGGGCCATCTCTGACTTCCGAAAATCCTTGCAGCCCTGAGCCCTGTCTGAGTCTCCTCTGCCCATAGCCACTGCACCTCCAGCCAGCAATGCTGAGCTTTCATGCCGATTCCCTCCAGGCATGCATCTCTCCCACACCCTCATCTCCATGCTGGCCAGCCGGTGGTCACTGTGTCCTGCCCCATGTGAGTGATCAGTCTGTCAACAAATAAAGTCACCAATGTGCCCTCTCAGAGGTCTTTTTTGCATATCTGGCAAACCCTGTGGGAAGAACTTCAACGTGCCGCGTGGGGTGGGAGCTTCGGGACTCTGGCCTTGAGCTGCATCCAGGCTGACAGCACCAGGGGCGGAGGCAGTCCTGACTTCCCGCTGTGCGGGGTCTGCTGTTGTGGGGTTCTCCTGCCAGCCTCAGCGTCTCCAGGCCCCGGGGGTGCTTCTCTGTGAATCCCCCACACCCACCCGGCCCGGCCTCTCCCTGGGCTCAGCTCCTCCCCCTCTCTCCTTCCTCTGCCTGTCTGACCCCCACTCATCATCTTCTCACCAGCCCTCTCTTATTAAATAAAATAAATATTTCTCATTCCTGGAAGACATTTTAGAGCTGATCTCTTATTTCAAATATCTGTGCACGGTCATCCCAATGCCTGAAGTCTCTGTGGGTCCATTTCAGCTTTCTGTCATTTCCACCAGTTCTCGCTCATGGTGTCGTTTCCTTGTGTGCTTCACTGTTTGCAGCTGAGTAACCACCTTTGTCCTTGGAAAGTATTTGTGGGCATTTTTGAGGCCTCTAAGACAGGTGTGTTTTCTTTTGCCTTATGTGAGGAACCCTCTCATGTAGCCGACAAAACCTATGGCAGCACCTGCAGCTTTGTCACCAACAGGAATGAGATGCGTGGCGTCACATTATGCCGGCCGCAAATGCTCAAAACCTCATTCTGGCCACTGCTGTTTCATAATTATGGTAGCGCGAGATGCACCTGCTGGGTCCCACCAGGCACATGCTCCCTAGGGAAGTACATGCTATCTCACCAGTTCACTTTTTCATAGTGTAACAGCAGTGTTTTCATGAAGTTGGTTTCCTTTTACTTATCTGAAAACCTCCAAAGCTTTCACGAGGTGGCCGGGAAGTTCCCTTGTGCAAAAAGGGCAAAGACCCCTGTCTTTGATTTGGGCCTGTAATCCTGTAATTCTTTATTCCTTTTCCAGTTTCCTGTTGCAACTAGGAAGATTCTTCCTAGTGTTTTCAATTGTTTTCAGCAGGATGATGGGTCAAACAATCTCATCAACAGGTTTCCAGAACTGGAATCCCTGGAGCAACTTCTATTATTTTTTAGGCGGAGTCTGGCTCTGTTGCCCAGACTGGAGTGCAGTGGTGCGATCTCGGCTCACTGCAACCTCCACCTCCCAGATTCAAGGGATTCTCCTGCCTCTCCTCCTGAGTAGCTGGGATTACAGGCGCAGGCCACCATGCCCAGCTAATTTTTTTGTATTTTTAGTAAAGACGGGGTTTCACCATCTTGGCCAGGCTGGTCTTGAACTTCTGACCTTATGATCCACCCGCCTCGGCCTCCCAAAGTGCTGGGATTACAGGCATGAGCCACTGCACCCGGTCTTTTGGTTTTTTTTTTTGTTGTTGTTATTTTTTTTTGAGAGCGGGTATCACTCTGTTGCCAGGCTAGAGTGCAGTGGAGCAATCTCCGCTCAGTACAACTTCTGCCTCCCGGGTTCAAGCTATTCTTCTCCCTCAGCCTCCTGAATAGCTAGGACTACAGGTGTGCACCACCACACCTGGCTAATTTTTGTATTTTTAGTAGAGACTGGGTTTCACCACATTGGCCAGGCTGGTCTTGAACTCCTGACATCGCGATCTGCCTGCCTTGGCCTCCCAAAGCGCTGGGATTACAAGCGTGAGCCACCGTGCCCGGCACGACTTCTTAATTCTTAAGAATAACTGGAAATTTTCTGTAACCTTCCCCTGTTGTTCACAAGGATTCCTTAATTCTTGAGTAGGTCTTTTCCTTTGAACCGCTGTATCTATTAACTTGTCCCAGCAGTCATTTACTCCTTTGCAGTTTCGATGGCATGTCTGTGCAAATGCAATACACAGTTGGAAGTCCCTGTCCGAGTGTCACAGGCTTCCAGGACAGAAGGACACAGGCCCCTTGTCACTGTCATTTTCCTTTGCAAGCTCCCAGCCCAGCCACCAGGACAAGGGGAGCAGGCATGGCAGGAAGGGCTGTCCCCAGACCTCTCTGTCCTGGGTCTGATCAGTAGCCCAGAGCAAGGCTGCCTTGCCCTGAGCCCCATGACTGTGTGTGTGCAGCCTCTACCCTGCTTGTGAAGGGGGGTGGGATGTGTGTGTGGCCGGGGTGGGGGACTCACCACATAAGGACTGGGAGGGGACTTCTCACACTAGGGCTCCCAGATCCTGGTGCCCTTCACCGCCCATCTCCCACAGCCCTTGGCCAGCTGGCCTAGCCAAGTGCCCACGTCTCCCCACTGGGTGGGACTCTGTAAGGGAACACGGCTTCTGCATCTTCAGGGAGTCCTGAGCCAGGCTGCCCTCCCTTTGGCTCATCCTGTGGGATGTGGGGGCCCTGCTAGTGCGGGAGTCCCCATTTCTAGGCTGTGTGCCGTCACCCCTTGGGGAGGATGGGAGAGGAGGCTCTGTGTGGGCCCCGGCAGCCGTCGGACCTGGGAGACGTCTCTTTTCCCTCCCGTTACTGTTTAATGGTGACATTAGTTACCTTATTTCGGTTTTTATTTTATAAACCGTTTTGAGAAATGTTCTCATCTAATAGGAAACATCAGGAGCAATTTCCTTTCCTTTCCAACTGGCTGTTTTGCTCCTCCTCACGTTTTCATGGTCTTCTCTGCTTTTGAGGTTTCCGCCTGTTTCGGTTGCTTTTCCGTCTTTAGGATATCCACCACGGTTTGTTTTTTCTCTTCTACTTTTATTTGCTGTTTTGAAAAATATACATTCTGTTTTTAATTGTACCAATAAATAGCTTTTAAGTTTACCTTTATGCTTATTTTTTAACTATTAAAGTGAGGAATGGAACCGCAATTCGAGAATTTCTATTTAAAACAGAATTAATCTTGCTCTCCTCAACATCAGCCCACGGTTCCACCCCCACCCGCTTCTCAGTCTTTCTTGTTTGATTGAAAACAACATACAGCATATTCCAGTAGAAACAGAACCGCACATACAATCCTAAATATTATAACAGCCACATTTAAAGATGGCAGAAGGAACAGGTGCAATTAATTTAACAATAGATCTTATTTAACCCGGTACATCCAGAATGTTACCATTTCCACAACTGGCATGAGCCACATTTCAAGCACTCAAGAGCCACGTGTGGTTAGCGGCCTCTCACACTAGCATGCAGTAAAGTATTAGAATATTATCACTGCCATTCAATTAGGATGTAGAATATGCATCTGTTGTATGCATCTGTTATAAAATATGTGAAATTTGCATTTGCAGTTATAACTGAGCACATTGGTTATCTGGACCTAGGTCAGTGTCTTCCTGTCTTTGTATCTGGGCCAGCCCTTTGATACCCCAGCTTCTACGTTCTGGAACTCTTGTCTTTGCTTCTTCTCTGTCACAGTCAGTTGGGGCTGCTATAACAAATTGCCGTGGACTGGAGGGTCTTGAGCAGCAGGCATTTCTTTCTCCCAGTTCTGGAAGCTGGAAGTCCAGGATCAGTCAGGGTGCCACATGGTGGTGCTCTGGAGAGGGCTCTCTTCCTGGTCTACAGACAGCCACCTTCTTGCTGTCCTCACGTGGCCCAGATAATCTCTCCACGGTTTCTTCTTTAAAGGGCACAAATCCCATTTTTGAGGGCTCCACCCTCCTGACCTAATTACCTCCCAAAGGCCCCACCTCTTAATACCATCATATTGGAATTAGGGTCTCAACATGTGAATTTTGGGAGGATACAAACATTCCATCCATAACAATCACTTTGCCATTTGTCATATTTCCTTAAGCATTTTTTCCAAGAGGGATACCTGGGTGGAGTACTTTCTAAGCTCTTGCTTTTGTGAAAATACATCGCTGTTATCTTTATTTGAGAAAGATGTAATAATTTGAAAAAAGGAAAATTAGAGCCTTAGTCCACCAAAGATTGCCCTGGAAGCCCTGAGGATATTGCCATACCCTGGTTAGTGGGACAGGGGTCTGAGGTCAGCCTGAGGCAGTTCATTTCCAGATCGTGTATTATTCGTCTTGCCTGTGAGAGGCCTGTTCTTAGGTCTTCTACATTGAAAAACTCGTCAATGCATGTCTAGGTGGCCTGATTTTCTTGAAATTCATTAAGTTCTTCTACTCCAAATACACACACCTCTGTCCATTCAGCCCAGAATACCTGATCCTCAATTATTTCTTTATTACTTTGATCTTATTTTTTTTTCTCCCTAGCAATTGAATTTTCAGGTTTTGTCTCAGCTAAATATACACTCTGTTTGTTATCTTTTCTCTCATTATATTTGTGAATTTTATCCTTTACCTCGGCGTTTGGAAGAACTCATGTTTGGACTTAAAATTGAATTGATTCTCTGTGGTATTAGTTTTGCTCTTCTGCTTCTGATGTGAATTTTTAATCCAGCTGTTTGGTATTAAATTTGGTATTGAAGACTTGCTGTCTTTCATCTTCAACATTTTTTATTTTTAGAATCGGAGACTCACTGGTTGAGAATGTAGATCCTATGTACAGACCGGCTGGCTTCTAGTCCTGGTTCTGTCACTGTTTTCTGTGTGGCTTTGAGCAGATTGCTCAACCTCTCTGCTGAAGCTTCCGCGTCTGTCCATAGTAACTTCGACAAGAAGTTAATGCCGAAATTCAGTGAATTAATAGATGCCAAGTGCTTGGAATGCTCCCTGGCGCAGCCACATGCTCCGACCTCACCAGCTTCATCATCAGTGCTACTAGGGGGTCATTTTCTAAGATCACCGAAGCTGTCACTACAGTCACATGCTATAATTTGCAGCTCCAGGTCTGTGGGACCCTCCCCCTCATACTCCATTAGGGAACGCCGCTGCCTCGGCTTCCCTTCGGCTCTCACCCTGGCTCCCAGTGCTGACTGCCCTGCGTCTTCAGATGAGAGGCTCTTGTCGGGAGCTGAGTCTTCACAGACATCACCCCTGAGAGGTCGGAGGGGCTTGTTTGACAACAGCCATGGAGGGCGGAGTGACTGGCACGTGCTGGAGGCCCCAGGTTCAGATGGAATTTCCATCACAATGGCGAGGCAGGTGTGCAGGGAGGGGCTGTTGGGGGCTGTGAGTTTATCCCACGTCCAGCCGGTGCACATGGCCAGTGACAGTCACAATGGCAGTGACTCAGATCTTTAGGTGGACAATTGTGTCACCTGCGAATAACAGAGGTTCACGTCTCATTTCTATTTCTCGGCTTGCTGCTTTGACTGGCCCTGTAGGACAACAGAGAAAGGTTCTGGTGACCAGGGGCCTGCTCACCTCCTGCTACGCTATGACAGGAGAGCTTCCAGTGAGCCTCCCTAGCGCTATAGGCTTTCTGGGCCACCATGAAAGCCCGTCCCAGGCTGCCGTAGCCTCATCCCCAGCTGAAAGAGGCTGGAAGGACACTGGGAGATGTTGCTGGTTCCTGGTGAGAACCAGCTTCAGGCCATGCTGGGCTCAGGCCCCAAGACAGAGGAGCTCACCTGTGACGGTCCCTGCCCCGGGGTCAGGGCCTGTCCTGCCTGATGACCTCCCAAGCACAGGCTGGCTTTGCCCACCCCAAGTGTCCTTCACTCTCCAGTGACCCTCATTCCACATCCACCTCCTCAAGGCAGAGGCCCCTCCCCACCCCCAGGCCTGGATCTGCACCCACCACTCTCAGGACACCTGACCAGGGCTCCAGGGGACAACAGTCCAGACCCAAAGGCCAGTCCCCAAACCTTGTCCTCCTAATGAGCTGACTGTCCAGAGGCCTTGCCAGAACATTCCATCTCCTTCTCAGAGGAGGGGAGGTCCTCCCTGTCCTCCTGCTCTTGGCAGACATCAGGATCTCAGAAGATCCCAGAGCCCGCCAGGAAGCGCTGTCCTCAAGCGTCTTTTCCCAACACAGGCACCTCCATCCTGGCTCTCCCAATCACAGCCACGCCAGCCCACCCTGTGAGGTCCCTGCAGACAGAGGCTGGGCCTCCCCCGGGCCCAGAGCTCACGCTGGGCACAGTCACGGGACCTGCCAGGTGGAAGTCACCAGGTCAGCCCCAGAGAGGCCACACCTTCCCTCCTGGTGTTCCCGGGGGACAGGCTCAGCCAGGGGCGCCGGTCCTGCCCAGGACCAGCCGAGTGTTAGGAGCAGAGTGAGGACAAGTCATGGCAAAGGAAGCAGAAATAATGAGGGTCCTCCCGGCTCCAAACACCAACACGGAAGTGGAGGGCGTTGCTGAGTCTCCTGCTGGGAAAACACAGGCCCTGGGCATATAAAAGCCCCAGCAGCCAACAGGCTCACACACACACTCACTCACACACTCACACACACACTCACTCACTCACACACCTCCCCCAGCTCACCTCCTCCCCACTCCAGCATGGCCGCCTCCACCATGTCCATCTGCTCCAGCGCCTGCACCAACTCCTGGCAGGTGGACGACTGCCCAGAGAGCTGCTGTGAGCTCCCCTGCGGCACCCCCAGCTGCTGTGCCCCAGCCCCCTGCCTGACCCTGGTCTGCACCCCAGTGAGCTGTGTGTCCAGCCCCTGCTGCCAGGCGGCCTGTGAGCCCAGCGCCTGCCAATCAGGCTGCACCAGCTCCTGCACGCCCTCGTGCTGCCAGCAGTCTAGCTGCCAGCCGGCTTGCTGCACCTCCTCCCCCTGCCAGCAGGCCTGCTGCGTGCCCGTCTGCTGCAAGCCTGTGTGCTGTGTGCCCGTCTGCTGTGGGGCTTCTTCATGCTGCCAGCAGTCTAGCTGCCAGCCAGCTTGCTGTGCCTCTTCCTCCTGCCAGCAGTCCTGCCGTGTGCCTGTCTGCTGCAAAGCTGTGTGCTGCGTGCCCACCTGCTCTGAGTCATCCTCTTCATGCTGCCAGCAGTCTAGCTGCCAGCCGGCTTGCTGCACCTCCTCCCCGTGTCAGCAGTCCTGCTGTGTGTCCGTCTGCTGCAAGCCTGTCTGCTGCAAGTCCATCTGCTGTGTACCTGTTTGCTCTGGGGCTTCCTCTCCGTGCTGCCAGCAGTCTAGCTGCCAGCCAGCTTGCTGCACCTCCTCCTGCTGCAGACCCTCCTCCTCTGTGTCCCTCCTCTGCCGCCCCGTGTGCTCCCGCCCAGCCTCCTGCAGCTTTTCCTCAGGCCAAAAGTCTAGCTGCTGATGGCCATGTCCCCCAGGGCCAGCCGGGCTCAGGCCCCACCTCCCTGCCAGTCCTTGGACCTCCCAGCCCACCCAGCCTCAGCACAGCTCAGCACAGAAGGAGCAGCCCCAGCCACAGCCGCCCAGCCCCGGGGTCTCAGATGCTCACTGGCTCCTCTCTGACCTCCCGCCGGGCGGGCGAGCCCTGGCTTCTCCTCACGGTGCTTCCTGGCTGCAGACCACAACCCTCCGCTGGTCGCTGGTCGCTGGTTGGGGATGGGCCCTCCTGACCTGGGTCTCACCCCCAGGAGCGTCACCCTCTGCCTCTGAGCACCAATAAAGCGTCTGCGGCCCCAGCTGACTCCGTGCTGACTCTCCGCACCCAGGGCGGGAGGGGGCAGAGTGGGGCCTGGCCTGGCTCTGGGGGGCTGGGCCCCGTGGATCTCTTTACTTCCCCAGCTGGGGGCCCCGGGGGGCTCTTGTGTGACACCTGGAAGCTCCTGTCCACCTCGTGGCACGTTCTGCTGTCCGGCTCCCCTCCCAGGTCCTGTGGGGCCCAAAAGCCTTGTTCATTGGCTGAGTCCCACAGACACCACATGACTCAGGCCAACGCCCCACGCACTGTGGGTAGAAGCAGCTCCTTCCCATGGCAAGGGTTGGGGCTGTCCCGGGGGGTGGCAGGCCCCAGCTGTGCTGGGAGGTGGGACACGGCGGGAGACTTGGGCTCCAGCTGTCCCTGCGCTCAGGGAGTTCCACTCAGGGACAGCTTGGGCATCCTGGCCTCCTGCGCACACTCACATACGCTCAGGGGCGCCCTCTGTTCCTGCACCAGGCTTACAGCTGGGATGCAGAGCAGAGAACAGAGACGCGGCCTCCAGAGCTCCGTGTGCTGGGCTGGGTGGGCGGAGGGCCGGTGGGAACAGCAAGGCCCCAATGGCAGAGGAAGTGCAGGACAGCATGGGGACACATGCAGACCAGAGGGCGAGAGAAACACGTGGACGCACAGGTCCAGATGTAGCCAGATGTGGTTTCAAACAGGATTGAGCAAATCTGAGAATAGACTCCTAGAAATGCAAATGCAGGCAAGGGATGCTGGCGAGGTATGACCGTCACCACGTTGCCCGCAAGAGGCCCTGAGTCTTTACTTCTCCACAGCTATACAATCACAATGCGGGGGGCACACATTATTCTTTTTTTTGTCCGGGTTGATTTTAAAAACTATTTTCTCATGGTTTTCTTCAGCAAGGTGTACAGCGTTCCAAAGTGTGGACACGCCGCACTTGGTGTCTGCAACGCCAGGTGGATGGCCCTGACTGTCTCTCCAGTTGTTCATTATTACAAACGATACCTCTTGTGAGATATGGCAAGGTTTCTCTTCAAACAGCCTGATCAGTCCTTTAGTGTTTCATTCCCAGTACCCCTCCCCATGTCTTTCTTCTTCTTTCCTTCTGCTTTTCCTACACGCCCAGGCATGCCACAGCACCAGCTCACATTCCTTTCCTTATTTGAGAAAAGACTGACTCTCTAGCTCGCCGCAGACGACCCCTTCCCCTAAATGTTTAGCCAATCGGGTCTAGCTTAGATTGTGTGGTCCGACCCCAGCCAGTTAAAAAAGGGCACAGGGGCAGGATTTGCGTCAAAAATAAAAACTTTCACTCTCCTTTGTTCTGTGTGCTCTCGTGGCAACCGGCCACGTGAGAGGCACTTCTCTGCGCAAAGATAAATTTGCTTTGCTAAAAAGTCCTTTGTCTAAGCGCTCGTTTTCCTTACGACTCTGAGTTCTATCTCTAACACCTCTGTGGGTGTTTCTACCATATACCTTTCCACACTCAGGTACATTTTTGCCTAAATTCCTAAAAGTGGCATTGCTGGTGCAGAGTGTTCATGGATTTAAAATTCTTAGAGATACTGAGAAATGCCCTCCAAAGATGGTCCCTAATTGTGCCTGTGAATACCGACGTCAGAGGAAATGGTGCAGCGGGGAACTGTGAGGGCCTGTCCCTCCACGGAACATCAGAAACTGGCAAAACCCAAATAAACAAACCCACCGTCCCCGGCCAGCGTCCCCTGGCTCTGCAGTTGTATTTCTAGGAGTCTACTCTCGGATTTGTTCAATCCTGTTTGAAACTGGCTCCATCTGCACTCATGTTCACGTGTTCACGTGTTCTCCCACCCTCTGGTTTGGACGTGGTCCCACACTGTCCTGGGCTTCCTCCGCCATCACTTCCCCAAGACCTTCCCATCCCCACCTGCCGTCCACCCACCCACCCCAACAAAGGGGGTGGAGTTCAATTTTATCTGAACTCTGGAAAATACTTGAAGGTTTGCAGCAGTCAAGGGAACACATAATCAAGAAAAAGCAGCACAACCCAATAGGACAACCTTGTGGATTTTAACTCCCCCTTGCCCCATCCCCCACTCCCCAGCTGGGTGACAGTCAGGAAGGCAGCAGCCCGAGTTTCTGATGTGGGATGCTGTTGCCAGGGAAGCAGAGGGGACCTTGTTTGCAAGGCAGTGCAGTTGTCTGTTTCTACCCATCTGGTGGCTCCCTGAAGGACTAACACACAGGGCTTGCCTTATTTCACCAAATCAGACTCAAGGCAGAGAGCAGCTACACTGAGGCTTTGTCAGAACATTAAACAGTCAATGCCACCTGGGGCCAAAGGTATCAGCCAGAAAACATTGGGCATGCCCAAAAAGCCTGGGAGGAAAAGCTGGAAGATGACATGCTTTGAGGAATAAGGGAGGTGGGAGATCCCACTTACTCTTGGGAGTCCAGAAGGCCCCCACGCATGCCCATGATGGGGCACCAGCTCAGAAAAGACCTGAGAAGCTCTCAGTGCTCACCTCTGGCTGAACTTCAGGCTCTGAGCAAGCAGGAAGGGAAGGTGCAAGCAGGAAGTAAAGGTGCAAGCAGGAAGTGAAGATGCAAGCAGGAAGTGAAGGGGAAGGCAGAGTCGCAAACTCCCCAGCCGAGTGCTGGGGGGTGTGGACCAATACACAGAGCCCAGCTACAAACCCTGAAGAAAAACAATTTTTTGATTCCAGGCGTTTAAGGAACTCTCTGTCAAATTACTGTCTTAGCACCAAGCTAATAGAAAGTGAGCACACATGATGAAGAAACTATTTTTTAACTTGACATAAACAAGCAAAAACAACCACAATCCACAACAATCAGCAACAGCAAACTGCACAGAGGGAGGAGAACCTGATACCCAGAAATATCCCATTGTAATAGTCACTGTCTGGTTTTCACCAGACAAAGTGGGAAGAAATATGAGCTACTCATGGGGGGAAAGCAATTAATGGAAAATCTTCCTGAGGAAGCCCAGAATTGGACTTACTAGATAAAGCCTTTCGATCAGCTCTCTTAAACATGTTCAAAAAACTAAATAAAATCACAGACAAAGAATTAAGATAAACCAGGAGAATGATGCCTCACCAAATAGAGAATATCAATAAAGAGATAGGAACTTTAAAAAGAAACCAAACAGAAAATCTGGAATTGAAAATTACAACAACTGAAATAAATAATTCATGATAGGGTTTCAACAGCAGATTTTATCAGGTGGAAGAATTAGTGAACATAAAGACAGACGAATTAATATACTCTAGTCTGAGGAGTAGCTGAGACAAAGGGGAGTAGATGTGAGAATGGAGAAAAATGCACAAATCTTAGAAGACCTGTGGGACACCATCAAGCATACCAACACACTTAACTGGATTTCCAGATGGAGGGGAGACAGGGGGAGCAGAAAAAATAATTGAAGAAATAATGGCCAAAACTTCCCAAATTGAGAAGACATACCAATCTACACATTCAAGCCACTCAGTGAACCCCAAGTAGAATAAACTCAAAGAGAATCACACAAAAACACAGTGTAATCAAATTCTCAAAAGTCAAAACAGAATCTAGAAAGCTGCTGGACAGAAGACTAACAGCGAATTTCTCATCAGAAACCATGGAGGCCAGAGGCATTGGGATGACATATTTCACATGCTGGCTTGGGGTACAGCGGCAGGGGAAACCAACAACCAAAAAGGCATCAGCATCTGACAAAATTATCCTTCAAAAATGAAAGAGGGGCCGGGCGCAGTGGCTCATGCCTGTAATCCCAGCACTTTGGGAGGCCAAGGCAGGTGGATCACGAGGTCAGGAGATTGAGACCATCCTGGCTAACATGGTGAAACTCCAATCAAAATACAAAAAATTAGCCGGGCCTGGTGGCGGGAGCCTGTAGTCCCAGCTACTCAGGAGGCTGAGGCAGGAGAATGGTGGGAACCTGGGAGGCGGAGCTTGCAGTGAGCAGAGATCGCACCACTGCACTCCAGCCTGGGCAACAGAGCGAGACTCTGAAGAGAAAGTGATTCATTTCAAGGTAAATAAAACCTGAAAAAGCTCATTGCCAATAGACTTGCCTTACAAGAAATGCTAATTCAGGCTGAAATAAAAGGGCACTAGACAGTAACCTGGAGCCATATGAAGGAAAGGTAGCCATGTCGGTAGTTTGTGTGTTTATAAGAATTCTTCCATTACATATTAGTTATCTAATTTGTTGGTGTACAAATTTTCATAGTATTCCTTATAATCCTTTTTATTAATGTAAGGTCAGTAGTGATATTCCCATTTTCATTTACGATTTTAATTATTTGAATCTGTCATCTTTTAATCTAGATAAATATTTGTCTAGATAAAGATCTAGACAGATAAAGATTTGTCAAATCTGTTGCTCTTCTTAAAGAACCAACTTTGGGGTTCATTGATTCTACTGGTTTTCTACTTTCTATTCCATTTTTCTGTGCTCTAGTCTTTATTTTCTACCTTCTGCTAAATTTGGATTCAGTTTGCTCCTCTTTTTCTAGTTCCTTAAGATATAAAGTTAGATTAATGATTTGAGATCTTTATTTTTTTTTAAAATGTAAGCATTCAGTTATCAATTTCCCTCTACATACTGCTTTCACTGCATCTCATAAGTTTTGGTTTGCTGTGTTTTCTTTTTTATTCATCTCAAAGTATTTTCTGTCTTCTCTTTGAGTTTCTCCTTTGACTCCTTGGTTGTTTGAGAGTGTGTAATTTAATATACACATATTTGTGAATTCCAGTTTTTCTTCTGTTATTTTCTAGTTTCTTTCCATTATAATCAGAGAAGATAGTTTCTATGAGTTTGATCATTTTAAATTATTAAGACTAGTTTTGTGGCCTAAGGTATAGTCTAATATGGCAACTGTTCCATGTGAACTTGAGAAGAGTGTGTTGTTGTCTACTCTTGT